>NC_000020.11:3248153-3399668 GCF_000001405.40 Homo sapiens
TTCCTGGCCTCTAAGTCCCTCTGAGAGCCCTTCACCATTTACTGTCTCCCCATCGTTCTGGCAATTCCTAGGGGTTAATCCCCAAACCCTAGAGGTTTTGCCGTAATGCAACCGCAGGCGCTCCATCAAAGTTCAAACCCCGGCCTGCAGGATGGGGATGCCGGAGGCTCTGGGGAAGAGGTTGTGAAAGGGTAACACTGCCGCCAGCCCCCTCCCCCAAGTCTACCAGGCCCTTCCCGTGCAGATTTGCATTTGGTTTGCACAGGACTAATTTATCTCAAGGAACTTCCAAACCTAAGACCACCATCCCAATCACCTGAAGCTATCTGCGGAGGCTACACCCTTTCCCCCGGGCCAGCTTCCACATCTGCCCAGTGGGGCATTTCCCCTTGTCCCACCCAGCGACTGGTTGACAGGAAGCAGGGTGTCTATGGACTGGCGGCGGGCGCCCCTTTTCCTCACCTCCCTGCGCGGCCAGCGGGGGCCCGGGGTGTGGTCAGGTGGGAGGCCCGCGCCACGTGCGGCAGGAACCGCCTGGCGAGTGGAACCCGAGCTTGCACGGGGACAGCTGATGCCTTTCTGGTCGCTCCTCTAGAGCTCCGCGGGCTCCGGCAAACCCCCCCGTTAGAACTTGCGGTTCCAACGCGCAGCGCCAAATCTGGCCCTTACTTGACCCGTCAGCGCCTCCAGTCGTCCCCATGTATAAAGTAGGACCGAGGAGCCACCTCGCCAAGCTTTCACTGCGCGGAAACGCGCCCATCAGGCTGGAAAGGCGTGGTTCCTACTACAGCTCGGCCGCGGCAGGCTGGGGCCGAGAACCGGCACCCGTGCACGGCGGACTAAGACGAGGGTGAGGGACACGGGTGGGCCGGGAGAGCCCCGTTCCCATAGCCGGCTTCCTTGAGCCCCTCCCCAAGTTCTGGGACTCCCCAAGTTCCCACCCCGCAAGCCAGTGTGGTTTCTTCAGATGAATTTTATTCTTACTCTCCACGGGCTGCTCCGGCGTCTAGGGAGGGAGTGTGAGCTCCGAGGACTTCCCGCAGCATCCCCACCAGAGGCGTCCAGGGGAGGCTGAGGGCCGGCCCCCGTCACCCCCGCCCCAGGAGCACACGGGACTGAGTGTATGGCACAGGCATCGTCTGGAGGCCTTGCTTGTTCAGTGATAGTTTATTGGTCCTTAGCATGACATCTCGATTACCAAGGTAAATTCACATACACAACTGCAGGTAAAAACATGTAAAATAATATAAAAATAAATTGAAGGCTACTTTTATATATTTACTGAATTAAGTAGTGTAATAAATACTATGATAAGCAAAAAGCTTCAATCGCACAATTCAGTTTCACTGAAGTTACAGTAGTGTTTGTAAATACGAGTTTTAAAATTTAAGTTACAAATATTAAAGCACTGAAAAACTAGTATAAAAGTGAATTTTGGCACGTAAGTGAGCTCTTATGTCATTAGTATTTGACATCCTGGGACAATGAGGAAGCCAGTTCTCACCTACTTTTTTGAGGTACAACTATCCAACTAGATCAGCAACACGGCTGGAATACTTCGTAGTTTACAATCTTTGAATTGAACTTTTCCCTTTTGAGAAGCCCAAGGAGCAACCCAGAGCTTCTTACTGTGCAAAAATTCTCCAAAATCCTAATAGAATTTAGGAGGGAACTTTTTCTTGCGACCTGAAGGGCCCAGTGTCCAGGCTTCAGGTCAGATAGCCCCCAGGGCTCAGAGGGGCCGGCTCAACTCCTTGCCAACGGCCCTTCCCTAGGATAATAATCCCATTTCCTCCAATTTCTGTCTCCTTCTTCCAATCAAAAACAGAAAAATCCCATGTAAAAACATAAAATAACCCGTAACTTCAGCGACTTCAACATTATCCCACGCACTCTGGGTGATATAAACTGAAGCTGCTAATAGGAAAGTTAGCAAAAAGCATGTAAGCCCCGGGAGGACTGCCTGTCCCTGGGAACCCACCCCCGCTCTTTGCTGGGTCCCTGGATCCACTTCTAAGGTCAAAAGCAGTGTCATGGCCATTCCTTTGGAAACAGCAGAAGACCCTGCTCCTCCCACCTGGAGCGCCGCCTGGAGGAATCAAGTGGATACTGACCTTCACAGAACAGAGAGGCCTGGCAGGTTCCAGGAGGCATCCCCTGGCCTCAGTCCTCAAAGAGCTCACAGTGCACCGCGGGTGTGCCTTATCAGTGGGGCAGAGCAAGTGGCCCCAGGAATGCCCTTTCGCCAGCTGCCCCTTCACGTTCCCGAGTAGGCTGAGGAGCATCAACAGAGGCCTCAGCCAGTTTTGCCTTTTTGGCTTTGATGCTTCTTCACGTTTTGACTTTTTTCAATCACAGTTTCATATTCAAGTTGAGGTAATCACAGTTTTTTCTCTAAGAGGAGAGGAGTTGGGACAGTGGGGCAAGTTGGTGAGAGAGCATTTCTGTGAAGAGAAACAAAGACCACCACGTAGTACAGCCCCACATGGTGAGAAGACCCGCTCTCACGGGCGGGCTCCGACCCCTCTTTAAAAACTCTTCTGCAGCAGCCAGACTGCCAGGCCAGTGCAGTCAGGAAATGGCTCAAGCTCCTAAAGCTAGAGCTTTCATTTAAAACTTCACAGCAGCCCACTTAGAGAAATGGCCTGTGGTTCCCACCCCCCAACCCCTTTTCTAAGGCTGCTCAAGTTTGAGTTTTTAAAAAGAGTTCGGTAGAGCTAAAGGAAGCTACAGTAACTCACTGCTTATTAATCAATTGCACTTAAGATCTATGTTACTGATTCTGAAGCGAGGCAAGCCCTTGACGGACCGCAGCCTCTGGCCAGCCAGAAGTCAGGGGGCTCCCAGACTTAGGTTCCACAGTGGGGCCCTTGTCATCAGTGGCTTTTGGAGCTGGGACTGGAGCACGTGGGTCTTTTCAGAAGCCCTTCTTGATGCAAAATTTCTTATCAATGGTATCTGGAGTTTTGTTCATTTGGCTTCAAATTGTTTTTTTTTTTTTTCTAATATATTTTACTGACAAGCCCTTGAGAGCTGCTTTGCTACTTGCATGCAGGCCTCTGTGTGACCAGGCACACAGACTACATGTGCTCCATCTTGTCTCTCCGCTGCTCCAGGGGCCTTGCTCAAAAACCCCCTATATTACTGGAAACTGCTGGTTTTACCTATGTGCTTCTTCCTAAGGCATGCAAAAAAAAATATGTGAAATTCAGAAAACATTTACAGTTCAGGCAGCTGAGGCACTGAAGTCCTAAGAGACATCACCTAAATATCAGTGGCTGTGACTCCCCTGTCCCCCACACCAATTATGAAGGTCAGGCATGGGACACACTTGTAATTCCCCTCTGCTTTATGGTCCAGCTTAAAACGATGCCATTAGAAGGAATTCTAACTCAGGTATTGCAATTATTTGAAATTCCCAATCCTCAGGAGCCACACAAGCCCAGGGCCAGCAACAACACTTTGGGGAGCGGGGGGATGAGTTTCCTGAAGTTTGTGGCTGAAAAGCAGGCCTTCCTTGGCAAGGCTTGTGGGAGCGCTGGGTGCTGGAGACTGACCCCACAAGTGATCAGCCACCAGGCCTAAGACTAACCAGCTGCAGGACGCCCCCTTCCACAGTGAGGTGAAGCCTCGCCAGGGGGCCTGAGCAGCAGGCTTGCTCTTGTCCCTACATTAGGACACCCGAATGGTGTGACAGGAGAGCTAAAGAACCACCCACAAGGGGAAAAGCTGATGTCAACTTAAGAGCCACACACCTCTGGAAAGCAACAAGCCTCTCCTTCAGTTTAGTCCAGAAGGGAAATCCCCTCATTTGTGAACACATCATTCATCTCAACCCAAGCTGCTGGCTCTGTGGACTGGGCCTGGGCAAGGCTGTGCTGCTCCTCCCAGGACTGGGCCCACGGCCAGTACGGCCAGCTCCTTCAGGGAAACGGGCCTAGCAGGGGAGGCAGGCACTCCACTGGGGAAGATGGCTCTCGTGGAGCAGCATCTGAGGCTTGAGGCCTGTCGTGGCCTCGCCTCCCAGACACGGCCACAGTTCAGGCAGCCAGGGTTCCTTCTAAGTCCCAGTAGCTCCTCTGTGTAATCCTAATGCTTCTCCCCAACCTCAAGAGCCCAAAGGAGATCCTGTTATCAGAAACCCAGAGCTCCTGGACTGCCAGTTGCACACGTAGACGGGCAGGCCCCATCTGCTCATCCTTGAGTATTCCCCCGACCCCCAAAATCAATGGTGCAGGTGATGCTCTTCAGCGCTATACAGGGAATAAAGACAACATGCACTCAAGCCAGCCCACACAGGCCAAGGAGAACAAAGACAGCCCCTTAAGGGAGAGGCCTCCAGCAGAGCTGAGGTTAAGACACCCGTTCGTCCATCTCCAAGGTGGACATTCTGCAGGACGTACGGGCCCAGCCTTCCTCTAGGGCTTCAGCTCAAAGAGGTCATGATACTCCTGCTGTTCCAGCTCCTGGTTATACTTCTCAATTTCCCGGTTGGCTTCTTCCACGTAGTCATTCATGAACTGGTCCATGACTGGTATCTCATTAAGGAAGAGAGCTCTGAGCCTGGAGGACAAGGGAGGCTGCCTGAGCCCAGAGCGGCCTGTAGGCAGGTGAGGGGGGTTTGCTGAGGAAGTGAGTGTCTGGCCCATAGAGAGGGAACCTGATGGACTCTTTGTATATACTGGCAGCACCACAGCTACAAAGAATGCAATGGCTGTTGTCACAGGGATGTTAATGAGGTCCTAGAACTGAGCCCTTCAGCTTCAGCCCTATCCATCTTTTCACAGGTTAACTGTTGTAATTAGGCTGTCTTCGACTTGTAAATCGTGACTCTGATGACGACAGACTTCAGGATATCACCGCAGCTGCATCCAAACTATAACTCACAGGCTGGGCGCAGTGGCTCATGCCTGCCATACTAGCAATTTGGGAGGCTGAGGTAGATGGATCACTTGAGCCCAGGAGTTTGAGACCAGCCTGGGCAACATGGCGAGACCTAGTCTCTAAGCTGGGCGCGGTGGCTCATGTCTGTAATCCCAGCACTTCAGGAGGCTGAGGTGGGAGGATCACCTGAGGTCAGGCGTTTGAGACCAGCCTGACCAACATGGAGAAACTCCGTTTCTACTAAAAATACAAAATTAGCCGGGCACGGCGGCAGGCGCCTGTAATCCCAGCTACTCGGGAGGCTGAGGCAGGAGAATCACTTGAACCTGGGAGACGGAGGTTGCAGTGAGCTGAGATTGCGCCATTGCACTCCAGCCTGGGCAGCAAGAGTGAAACTCCATCTCCAAAAAAAAATTAAAACAAGACAAAACCAAAAAACTATAACCCAGAGTCACATTAGCAATCACTCAATAAAGGAGCAATTTAACTTTAACAGCTTTAGAGACTGAAATGAAAAGTTCGCCCCTGAGGTTTGCCCCTGTGCATTCCTGACCCATCAGTGGACATGCAGAGTGCTCCTGGGGCTCAAATGCATGGCTCTGGCAGACAACCGCTTTGCAGACAGGGTCACACACTCCCAGCCTCACTGCCCGGGTTCCACACAGGGACCACGCTGTTCCAAGGATACGTGGGTGAAAATCAGTTTTGTCACCAAAGAAGTTAACAAATTGGGTGCCATTATAAAAGTAGCCTGCAGGTAGGGGTTCCAAGTGGCGTTTTACCTGTAGGAGAAAAGAGACCTGTAATAATTATCTGACTACTTTCTATACTTCACTCACTCATTAAAACAAACAAGTCTATTTCCCTAGCAAGATAGACTACTCTGCTATACAGAGGAGCTAGGAAGCTAACACCCCCGGCAAACCTCAAGCCCTGCCTGAGGTGGTTCCCCACCTCTCAGGTGAGGAGCTCTGGGAGGTCCTAGTGGGATGAAGTTCCCACGGTGTGCAGTGGTACTGATGTGCAAACACACTCTTTTATTTATTTATTTATTTTTTTGAGATAGAGTCTTGCTTTGTCACCCAGGTTGGAGTGCAGTGGCGTGATCTTGGCTCACTGCAACCTCCATCTCCTGGGTTCATGCAATTCTCCTGCCTCAGCCTCCCGAGTAGCTGGGATTACAGGCATGCGCCACCACGCCTGGCTAATTTTTGTATTTTTAGTACAGACAGGGTTTCACCATATTGATCAGGCTGGTCTTGAACTCCTGACCTCAAGTGATCCACCCACCTCAGCCTCCCAAAGTGCTGGGATTACAGGCGTGAGCCACCATGCCCGGCCACAAACACACTCTTTATTGGCTGTTTCCCCCTCTCCTCTTTCATCCTCCTGTTTCCTATTTAGTGTCTCCTAGAATCACTTCCAAAATAAACTACCTGTACTTAACTCCTTGTTCACGGTTGGCTTTCAGGGGAACATGCATTATAAGGACTACCTTATGCCCATGTTGTCCTCCCCAGGAGCACCCAGGTTGTCCGGGCCTATAGGAGCTGTTTATGAAAGGGGCCTCCTCAAATCCAAAGCAGGGGCTCCTGGAGTCCCAGAATACTTTCCTGCCCCACCTGCTCATTACTGGCATCCTGGGGACCTAGACTCTGTGTCCTTTTTAGCTTTTTGTCCCCAAACCCCTCAGGAAAAGGCCCCAGTGAGCATGGCGACTGAAGCAGAGGCTGGGGGTCAGAGCCTGGAGGCTGGGAGGCTCATCAAGGGGGTCTCTCAATCAGCCTCTTATCCTGGCCTCAGGTTCCACAGCCTTCCTATGAGCAGCCTCTGGATCCAGACAGTTTTTGCCTGGGCTCTAGCTGGTTCATCTGTAACATAGGTCTTCTGCAGTTGCTTGAACAAGGTGCCAAGGCAGGGCTTCTGGTCATCAGCTTCTCCCACAAGTACTGGCTCTACTCAATCTGATGCCCAGGTCACACCAGAGGTCTCCTGTGCCCTCCTCACTGAGGCTGCAAAGGCCAGAATTCTGTACGCAGCTTCCCTCTGTGGCCTGGGAGAAGCAAGACCTCCAGCATGTCCTACAAACAGCTCCTCACTCAGAGAATCCAAAATACAGAGCTAGGCAAGCCGAGGACAGCCCTGGGCCACCGAGGGGAGAAGCCAGGGCAAGGCACTCACGTGGATGCTCCTGATCTCCTGTTGCGTCAGCATCCCCCTGGTCTTCAGGGCTTTCCTCTGAGGCTTCTGCAGAGATGGGGAGTGGAGGGTCAGGTCCCAGCAGAACTCATGGAGTGCATGGGCAGGGGAGGGCTCTGGGCTCTATTACACAACTAAGATCTCAGCAGTGGGGAAAGCACGTGCGCTATGGCCTGGATATAATATTCTGTCTAGTCTGCTCTTTGAGAAAACCACTTTCCCATCACAGAGCCCTGTGAGCCAGCAGGGAACAAGCAGCAGAGGACAGCCCAGTGTTTTCGTAAATGGGAATGGTCGTGCCTCTTTGTAGATTCTTATCCCTCAACCCTACCAATGAGAGGCAGACAAAGGGGCAGTCTGAGGCCCCACAGTCAAGAACCGTTTAGAAGCTTATCCAAGTGAGGCAGCCCATCCCTCAGCATAAAGACAGGTCCCTAGTGAGCATCTGCAGAAGAGCCAGGCCCCAGCTAACTCTAGTCCCAGAGTTCTAGGATGAACTAAACCCCCAAGGCTGTGCTACAAGGCTTAGCACCCAAACCTTGCAGAGAACCTGGCTCACAAAGCAAACAACATAGCAGGCCTGCCTGGAGTTTGCTCTCAGTGGCTTCCTCCCTCTCTCAAAGTGTCCCTGCAAGTGCTGGCTGGGCCAGGGAGAGGAAGCCCAGTGGGGAGGCATCAGGGAGGCAGTGGCGGGGCTTCTCAGGGCCAACAGCAGCTCTGAGGTGTCTGGTCACATCTGTGTCAGGTCTGTCTGGGCTCTGGAAACCACCTGCTTAGCTGACTGCCGCAGCCAGTCCTTGATGCTGTCTTCCTTCAGGGAGCAGCCGATGAACACAAGGTAGCACTCCTGCTGCCCGCTGCTGTCTTGAGATACGCTTTTGGAGTCTGGTGGTGGTGTGGGTCCTTCCAAAACTGGCATGATGCTCAAGGAGTTGGCCAGTGTGTTGTAGCAGACCTCCATGGTCCTCTCAGAGTCTGTAAGGAGAATACACATTAGTCCCTGAGAGCCTGCCTTGAAAGGATACAGCTATGCTAAGACTGTGACAATGCAGATGGTTGGGATAGATTCATGAGAAAATGCAAGAGACAGAACTGATGTGACTGGTGGCAGCTTAGAAAGGATGGAGTAGGTGGGCACAGTGGCTCATGCTTGTGGTCCCAGCTACTCAGGAGGCTGAGGCAGGAGGAGCACTTGAGCCCAGGAATTCAAGGCTGCAGTGAGCTGAGATTGCGCCACTGTACTCCAGCCTGGGTGACAGAGGGAGATCCCATTTTGTTTTGTTTTTTAAAAAGGAAAAGAAAGGATGGAGTAAGAGAGAGAGACAGAGAGGAACAAAATAAGTTTCTGGCTTGGCTGATCTGGGTGATCAGGTGGACACTATTATCCCAGAAGGGAAACACAAGAGAAAAAAAAGGTTTATAGGTGGGAGAAGAGGAAGAGTTTGACTCTGCACTTGTGGCATTTGAAAGTCTCTAAGACCCTGAGCGTGAGACATCCACATAGTCCCTGGTGGTTGCTGGAATAGCTGTTATGGAAGAGGTGGTTGAGGAAAAGCAAAGAAACCCCCTTGGTAGAAGTGGGGGGCTCTCAGCAGAGGCCTCAGAGGCCAAGGGAGGAGGGCACAGCCAACAGTACAACAAAAAAATTAGCTGGGTGTGATGGTATGTTCCTGTAGTCCCAGTTACTTGGGAGGCTGGGGTGGGCAGTGACCTAGGATTGCACTACTGCACTCCAGCCTGGGCAACAGAGCAAGACCCTGTCTCAAAAACAAAACAAAACAGACAAAAAAACCAGTACAGCAGTGTTGCACGAAGGTCACACAGATGAGAATGGGAAAAAGTGTTACATGCTAAGGAGATGAGGGCTAGGAGTGACTGGAGACCCAAGAAGTGGGCAAGGGCTCCCTGAAAGGCAGGATGAGAAAGGATCCGGAAAAAAGCGAGGTTAAATTTGAACAAAAAAAGAGTCAATAGCAGATCTAAATAAACAAGAGGCTGGGTGTGGTGGCTAATACCTTAATTCCAGCACTTTGGGAGGCCGAGGCAGGAGGATCACTTGAGCCCGGGAATTCGAGACCAGCCTGGGCAACATAGGGAGACCTTGTCTCCACAAAAAAGAAAAAAAATCAGCCAGGCATGGTGGTTCACGCCTATAGTCCCAGCTACTTGGGAGGCTGAGGTAGGATGATCGCTTGAGCCTGGGAGGTCAAGGATGCAGTGAGCCGAGATCAAACCACTATACTCTGGATTAGGTGACAAAGTGAGACATTGTCTCAAAAAATAAAAAGAAGAAAGAAATAAAAATATTTATTTATTTATTTTATTGAGACGGAGTTTCACTCTGTCGCCCAGGCTGGAGTGCAGTGGCACAATCTCGGCTCACTGCAACGGCCGCCTCCTGGGTTCAAGTGATTCTCCTACCTCAGCCTCCCAAGTAGCTGGGATTAAAGGCATGTGCCACCATGCCCGGCTAATTTTTTTTTTTGAGACAGAGTTTTGCTCTTGTTGCCCAAGCTGGAGTGCAGTGGTACAATCTTGGCTCACTACAACCTCCATCTCCCAGGTTCAAGTGATTCTCCTGTCTCACCCTCCCAAGTAGCTGGGATTACAGCTAGGTGGTGTCCTACAGTAGGTGGGTGTCCGCCACCACACCCAGCTAATTTTGTATTTTTAGTAGAGACAGGGTTTCACCATGTTGGTCAGACTGGTCTCAAACTGCTGGCCTCAAATGATCTGCCTGCCTTGGCCTCCCAAAGTGCTGGGATTACAGGTGTGAGCCACCGAGCCTGGCCTAATTTTTTTTATTTTTTGTAGAGATGGGGTTTCACCATATTGGCCAGGCTGGTCTCGAACTCCTGACCTCAAGTGATCCTCTTGCCTCGGCCTCCCAAAGTGCTGGGATTACAGGCGTGAGCCACTGCACCCAGCCAAAAAAGAAATAAAAAAAAAGAAGAAAAGGAGGTGATGGGTGAGAGGGAAAAACAAAAGTACCAAGACCTCTGAAGCAGCAGGGGCTGGCTGTTGGAGCCTGAGATTAGTGGGCTTGGGTGTGGGGCCGAAGTTTCTGATTTGATCACATAAATCAAGCAAAAGCTATGAGCTAAGGACCCATGTAATTCTCCCATCTGAACCATGATGGTTCTATGCTTGGAGCCCTCAGTGGTCCCCTACAGCAGAAACTGATAGCTGCCGACCCCCCATATTGTCTCCCTCTTCTTCCAATACCAATACCCCATGGGTGATGGGTCCAGAAAGGCACAGCAATCCAATGAGATAAGTCGGCAGAGAAATTGGGGGAGGCGCTGCACTGACAAAGGCACCCACAGGAAGAGCCAGCCTCTCCTCATTGGCTGGATGCAGTGTCTGGCTTTGACACCCAGACCTGTAGCACCACTTGGCAACCATAAGGGGCAGGAACCTGAAAGACAAGCTGACACACCAAGAAGGGGAGGACACGAAGACATACATCACCTGGCTCCTCAGTGGCCTTGCTCTGCTGCTTGAGCGCCTCACTTGTTATACAGCCAACACCTGCTAGCTGAGTGGGGGTTCTCTGTGATAACAGCTGAAGACACCCTAACAGACGCACTCCCTCTCTCCCTACTCCCAGGCTCCAGTTACGGTAAATGCTTTTTGGTTCCTGAAATGTGTCTTTTCTGCCTCTGGATTATAGCAAATGCTATTTCCTTCCCCTGGAATACTGTACCTTTCCTCAACATTGAGTTGACTGACTCCTACTGGTTTTGAGGCCTTCTCTGATGCCCACTCCAGGACAGCAAGGGCTCCAGAGGTCTAAACTGATCCTCAGGCCTACTAGTCAGAAGAGAGGAGAAGGCAAACAGAAGCTCAAAGACTTTGGTCAGAAATGGATCTAGAGCTGAAGAGCTCAGCACTGGGGCAGCTCCTGGTTTTAGGTCTAGAGGAGGCCATGACTGGCTCAAGAGGTGTGGAGTGTAAGGCTCTGAACAAGAAGGTCAAAAAGCTGTGAGAAGAGCCCCTGAGCAGGTCATCCAGGCGAGGAGGGCAAACCTCTGCCATGGAACAGGAGGACCCAGACTAAGTAGGCCCTTGGCGGAGAGGGGTGATGGACAAGCCTGATGGCGTGAAGGCCCAGGGTGGGGAAGGTTTCTGAGAGTCTGAGCAGCATCAGTGGTCTGCAGAGCACCAGCAGAGGCTCTGAACTCACATCATGAGATGCAAGCACTCCATGGTGTAGAGCTCCCAAATCCCAGCCCCTGGTTACCTGAAAACTTCACTTTGCCCAGGATGTGGTAGATGTTTCCGGAGAAGGGACTTGGCTTGATGGAGGACTGAATTGCTGGTGGAAGAAGAGGACAGCGCTGTCACCCACATGGAGGCACAGGCCAAATTCAGGACAGCACAGCTGGGAGTTTTAGGGACTGGGGAGGGACCATACACCAGGGTCTAGGGTTCACAGGTTCTACCCGCCACACCCTGTTGCTCCCCTGTGGCTCTGCCACTGTTCCCAGGGGAGGGAAAACCCTTTCACTGGAGTGGAGACCAAATTGTGTGACCACCCACAATCCTCAAATCCCTCTGTCTACTTTTGGTTTCAAAAGGTAAGAAGACATACAGCACATAGAATACTGAAATGGTACCAGGAGGCAGAATTAACTCTGGGACACCCTTTTTCCAGTGTCTAGGACATCTCAGTCAAGGCTTACCTTTACATTTGGCCACAAAGCGAGTCTTCTCCAAGGGACGGCCAAACCATACGCAGATCTGAACCATTAGGGGATAGACTGATCCAGCATTCAATTTACCTTCATACCTTAAAAGGTTTAAAAAATTTTAAGTACAGGCCGGGCGCGGTGGCTCACGCCTGTAATCCCAGCACTCTGGGAGGCCGAGGCGGGTGGATCATGAGGTCAGGAGATCGAGACCATCCTGGCTAACAAGGTGAAACCCCGTCTCTACTAAAAATACAAAAAATTAGCCGGGCGCGGTGGCGGGCGCCTGTAGTCCCAGCTACTCGGGAGGCTGAGGCAGGAGAATGGCGTGAACCCGGGAAGCGGAGCTTGCAGTGAGGCGAGATTGCGCCACTGCAGTCCGCAGTCCGGCCTGGGCGACAGAGCAAGACTCCGTCTCAAAAAAAAAAATTTTAAGTACAAATATTTGAATTCTCCCTTACATCTATGCCATTTTGCACACAAAAACTTGTTTAAATATGTATATGCCTCTTTCATTTTGAGACTGGGAAGCATGACTGCCCAGTTAAATCAGGAGCTGAGGATGAAGGTTTTACCTAACCTTAGACTAGCAGTTCCTTGATGTCAAAGACCCTGTGTACCTCTGAAGCCTCCCAGTCCCCATCTGAGTTTGGGGGTCCTTCCTGGTACGGTGGGGGGCTCTTGCTCAGGATGCCCTCCCATTTCTCTCTCTTTTTTTTTGAGACAAGGTCTCCCTCTGTTTCCCAGGCTGGAGTGCAGTGGTGCGATCTTGGCTCCCTGCTATCTCCGCCTCCTGGGTTCAAGCAATTCTCCTGCCTCAGCCTCCTGAGTAGCTGGGATCACAGGCGTGTGCGCCACCACACCCAGCTAATTTTTGTATTGTTTGTAGAGACGAGGTTTTGCCATGTTGGCCAGGCTGGTCTCAAACTCCTGGCCTCAAGTGATCTGCCCACCTCAACTTCCCAAAGTGCTAGGATTACAGGTGTAAGCCACCATAGCCGGTCTTGCTCCCATTTCTTTAAGGGCTCCAACTATGCCCCGCCATTTTGTTGCAGGCAGCATAACAGGTTGTACATATAGATGTGTACACCTGTCACAGAAGGAACTGGGGCATCTCTGCTCTATTTTCTTTGAGACAGGGTCTTGCTCTGTTGCTCAGGCTGGAGTGCAGTGGTGTGATCATAGCTCATTACAGCCTTGACATCTCAGGCTCAAGTGATCCTCCCACCTCAGCTTCTTGAGTAGTTGCTACGACACATGCCACCATGCCCAACTACTTTTGATTTTTTATTAGAGACAAGGTCTCACTATGCTGCCCAGGCTGGTCTTGAACTCCTGGCCTCAAGTGATCCTCCCTCCACAGCCTCCCAAGGTGCTGGGATTATAGCCATGAGTCACTGTGCCTAGCCTGTTTCCTTTATTTTAATTAATTAATTAATTAATTTTATTTTATTTTTTTGAGATGGTGTCTTGCTCTGTCACCCAGGCTGGAGCGCAGTGGCACGATCTCGGCTCACTGCAACCTCCACCTCCCAGGTTCAAGCAATTCTCCCCCTCAGCCTCCCGAGTAGCTGGGATTACAGGTGCCCACCACCACGCCCAGCTAATTTTTGTATTTTTAATAGAGATGGGGTTTCACCATGTTGGCCAGGCTGGTCTTGAACTCCTGACCTCGTGATCCACCCACCTTGGCCTCCCAAAGTGCTGGGATTACAGGTGTGAGCCACCGCACCTGCCCCTGTTTCCTTTATTTTAAAACAGCACTGCAATTTTAATTTTAAATTGTTGAAAGTATCTTATTCTTCTTAATTTCTTTAAAGAAGGTAGTAGGCATAAGATTTTTGCAAGACTGACCTGTCTTCTCCCCATCCAAACAAGTCATTTTGGAGACTGGGGGTTTCTCTGGCCTCTGGCTTCTGTGGTACCTGAATCCTTAGGGGAATTTGCAGGGGCTAAGGGAAGGCAGCAAGGTTTCTGCCCAAACTAGAAACAAGCTGTTCTACCAGAAAATGTGGAAGGAGGGTGGATGCGAACAGAGAAGGATGTGGGAGGGAAGTGGCAGAGAATGTGTGCACAGCACAGAGCGGAGCATATCCTGGAACTAAAGCCCATTCACTCTGAGGTGGTGGCTCTGACCCACGTGAGAGGGGAGTAATATATAGAGATGAGTAGGAGACTGATGACTGCCATCTTGTTAAAGATGAAATTATCTGATTCCTAGAAATGGACTTAGGAGGGGGCCTGAAAGAGAATTTTGGGGTCCCTCCATCTCTGATTCTCTATAAGGACTGATCTTCCTGATGAGGAAAAAGTTCACATTCTTTTTTTTTTTTTTTTTTTGACACGGAGTTTTGCTCTTGTTGCCCAGGCTGGAGTGCAGTGGTGCGATCTTGGCTTGCTGCAAGCTTCGCCTCCCGGGTTCACGCCATTCTCCTGCCTCAGCCTCCCAAGTAGCTGGGACTACAGGTGCCTGCCACCATGCCCGGCTAACTTTTGTATTTTTAATAGAGACGGGGTTTCACCATGTTGGCCAGGCTGATCTCGAACTCCTGACCTCATGGTCCACCTGCCTTGGCCTCCCAAAGTGCTGGGATTACAGGTGTGAGCCACCACATCCGGCCAGATTCACAGTCTTCTAATGGGCCCCTCTTACCCTACTCTCTCCTGGATTAGTCTGCCTCCAGGTGTCTGGGCCCTGAGCTAGCTTCTTGTGTATGAGTCAGTAAGGACTGGAGAACAGCACTTCTCTAGGCACCTGGTGGTGATTACAGGAGCCTCATGACCCAGAGGTTCAGGCAGCAAGAGAGTCAGTGGCTGTAGCCACTGGAAAGAAGGTTCCCCCAGAAGCTCCATTTGTTTATTTTTAGCTAAGATATCATTATCTTGTTCAGACATAAGAAATGACCCACTTACTCACTGTTTAAGTATGACATGATTCAAATCAGAGATTCCTTCTAAGAATATGCCTGAAAACATTTAATTTTACATACTGACCCTCTGGGATTTTTTTGGTTTTGTTTTTTACAGCATAGCAGATCTTTTTTTTTTTTTTTTTTTTTTTTTTTGAGACGGAGTCTCGCTCTGTCGCCCAAGCTGGAGTGCAGTGGCGTGATCTCAGCTCACTGCAAGCTCCACCTCCCAGCTTCACACCATTCTCCTGCCTCAGCCTCCCAAGTAGCTGGGACTACAGGCATCCACCACCACACCTGGCTAATTTTTTGTATTTTCAGTAGAGATGGGGTTTCACCACGTTAGCCAGGATGGTCTCGATCTTCTGACCTTGTGATCTGCCCGCCTCGGCATCCCAAAGTGCTGGGATTACAGGCGTGAGCCACCAAGCCTGGCCAGATCATTTTTTGTTACGAAAAAAGTTGGTGGTGTAAGGGGTGGTATGGAGGATGTAGAGAGGTGCTTGGGAAAAGTGAGTAAGAATAACAAAGATAATCCAAATAAACATGAGAGATTAATTCTGGCCAAGCTTTAACAATGTCTTCCCCTAAACCTTCAACAGAGCAGAAACAAATTGTCCATGCTATACAGGAATAAGTGTAGCACGATGCCTAAGAGAAAAAGCTCTGAGCCATTCAACCTGGGTTTGAAATCCAGTTCTTTCATCTACTAAGCTATAAATTGTCAAGTCATTAACTCTTTGCTGCCCCTGGTACCTTATCTGTAAAATGATAAAATAACGGAATCCACTTCACAGGATTGGTGTAAATGAGACAACACAAACAAAGCTCTCACAACAGCACTGTTCAACAGAGCCTTCTGGGGCAATGGAAATGTTCTAGATCTGCACTGTTGGACACGGTAGCTGCCAGCCACAGGAAGCTATGAAGCACTTGAAATGTGGCTGTGTGGCTGAAAGACTGAATTATAAATTTTGATTTTTATTAATTTACATTTCATTAAATAGCCATGTGGCTAGGAGCTGCCATATAGAGAGTGGAGTCTTTGAACAATAGCTAGCACACACAGTAAATGTTCCAGCGTGTTGGTATTAGTATGATTACAGTAACTTTGCAGCACACTCTCTCCTTTGTCCTCTTCTCCTCTGGAGAGGTCCACAGGCTGTGCAGCATCCTACAGAGAACATTCCCTGGGCCATATGAGCAGGGAACCCAGCAGATGGGAACCCTAGAGGACTGACTGACGGTATTGTCAGAAGCGAGTCTCACCTGGGAAAGTTATAGCTCCTTGGTTCTGTGCCAGGCACTTTGCCCTCAGTAGGGGCTGGAGGAACACAGGGCACAGCGGTGCTTGCTGCCTACAGGATGATTCCCTAAATTGAAACATCTAAGAAGGCTCGCAGTTTGGAGCCCAAGAGGTGGAGCACTGGGCTCCTGGCAAGGCCAGCAGCTGCCGGACAGGCAGGCCGTGCCAGCTGCCATGTGTCACCCTTGCAAAGCACATCTGGTATTTTCACCTTCTCTCTTTTTTTTTTTCTGTAAATAAATAAATCATTGGGTTTACAAAAAAATCTTAGTTATTTTTCAATGATGATACTTGCCAGCCAGGATACATTAAATATCGAGATCGTAGCATCTCAGGACTTGAAAAACTGTTTTCTGAGAGAATCAGCTCAATGTCTTCATTCCTTTGAAAACACACAGAAAAGACCTAGATTAATTAGGACTGTCAATCTCTTTTTTTTTTTTCTTGAGACGGAGTCTCGCTCTGTCGCCAGGCTGGAGTGCAGTGGTGCAATCTTGGCTCATTGCAACCTCCGCTTCCCGGGTTCAAGTGATTCTCCTGCCTCAGCCTCCTGAGTAGCGGGGACTACAGGCATGTGCCATCATACCCAGGTAATTTTTGTACTTTCAGTAGGGACGGGGTTTCACCATGTTGGCCAGGATCGTCTCAATCTCCTGACCTCATGATCCGCCTGCCTCGGCCTCCCAAAGTGTTGGGATTACAGGCATGAGCCACCGAGCCCGGCCAGGACTGACTTTACCTGCACGTTTTGTTTATTCTTCATGTCCCCTAAATACATACAAGCATTTTTGTTTTTTTCTGCCAAACCAAATGAAAATTAGCTGTACTCATCATGATATTTTACCCCTAAATACTTCAGTATGCATCTCCCAAGAACAAGGACATTCTCTTACAGAACTACGATATCATGATCACATCCAAGGAATTTACTGGCTCCCAGCAATCACCTGGGAGCTTGTTAGAAATGCAGAACCTCAGCCCCCAGCCCAGATGTACTGAACCAGAAACTAATTTTCAACAAGATCTCCACTAGAGATGCATATGCACCACAAAGCTGGAGAAGCATGAACATACATCCACTTTCAAATTTCCCCTTTTTGGTGGGGGAGGGTCCACGATCCAATCAAGAATCATTCATTAGGCCGGGCGCGATGGCTCATGTCTGTAATCCCAGCACTTTGGGAGGCCGAGGCAGGCGGATCACCTGGGGTCAGGAGTTCAAGACCAGCCTGGCCAACATGGCGAAACCCCATCTCTACTAAAAAAATACAAAAATTAGCTGGGCGTGGTGGCACGCGCCTGTAGTCCCAGCTACTTAGGAGGCCGAGGCAGGAGAATCACTTGAACCCAGGAGGTGGAGAGGTGGAGGTTGCAGTGAGACGAGATCACGCCACTGCACTCCAGCCTGGGTGACAGAGTGAGACTCTGTCTCAGAAAAAAAAAAAAAAAAAAAAAGACTATGTTCAAAAGTTACTTGAATTAAATACTTTTTTTGGTGTGGTTGTTATTACTTTGATATACAGATACATTCCTTTTTTTTTTTTTTAATTTTGAGACAGAGTTTCGCTCTTGTTGCCCAGGCTGGAGTGAAATGGCGTGATCTCGTCTCACTGCAACCTCCGCCTCCTGAGTTCAAGCGATTCTCCTGCCTCAGCCTCCCAAGTAGCTGGGACTACAGGCACCCACCACCACGCCCTGCTAATTTTTGTATTTTTTAAATAGAGACAGGGTTTCGCCATGTTGGCCAGGCTGATCTTGAACTCCTGACCCCAGGTGATCCGCCTGCCTCAGCCTCCTAAAGCGTTGGGATTACAGGCGTGAGTCACTGCACCCGGCCTAAATTTATCATCTTTATTCTCCTTTAACCTGGAACAGTTCCTCTATCTTTTGGTTGGTTTGATTCTCATGGTGTTGATATTTGAGAGTACATGTCAGAGCTTTTGTGTCCCACACTTGGATTTGTCTGTTTCTAATTCTCATAATTAGATTCAGGTTATGCATATTTTGAGATTAATACCCAGGTGGTGTTGCATCCTTCCCACTGCATCACATCAAGGAGGTACAGGGTATCAGTTTGTCCCATTACTGGTCTCACTGAGTTTAATCGTTTGTTCAACATAGGTATACCAGACCTTTCCATTGTAAGGTATTTTTCCCTCTTTGTAAGGAGTCAGTAGTCTATGGAGTGGTACTTTACACAGTACAGGACTAGTAATATTTTTTTTCTTCAACAGTCTTTCACCTAGTGCTTTTAGCATTCATTGATCGTTCCCTAAATCAAATACTGTATTAGACTGAAGGTTACAAAATGATTATTTTCTAGTTCTTTTGTTTTTGTTTTTTTGAGATGGTTGAGATGGAGTCTTGCTCTGTTGCCCAGGCTGGAGTGCAGTGGCGCGGTCTCGGCCCACTGCAAGCTCCGCCTCCCAGGTTTACGCCATTCTCCTGCCTCAGCCTCCTGAGTAGCTGGGACTACAGGTGCCCGCCACCATGCCCGGCTTATTTTTTGTATTTTTAGTAGAGATGGGGTTTCACCGTGTTGGCCAGGATGGTCTCGATCTCCTGACCTTGTGATCTGCCCGCCTCAGCCTCCCAAAGTGCTGGGATTACTGGCCTGAGCCACCATGCTCGGCTGATTATTTTCTAGTTCTATCAAACCTTATTTACTTGGTATTCTTCTATAAAGGGCTTTGCTATCCTGCCCCCTTCCACCTTTTTTTTTTTTTTGAGATGGAGTTTCGCTCTTGTTGCCTAGGCTAGAGTGCAATGGCGCAATCTCGGCTCACTGCAAGCTCCGCCTCCTGGGTTCAAGCCATTCTCCTGCCTCAGCCTCCTGAGTAACTGGAATCACAGGCATGCACTACCATGCCCGGCTAATTTTATATTTTTAATAGAGATGGGGTTTTGCCATATTGGTCAGGCTGATTTCGAACTCCCGACCTCAGGTGATCTGCCTGCCTCGGCCTCCCAAAGTGCTGGGATTACAGGTGTGAGCCACCGTGCCTGGCCCCACCTTTGTTTTTGAGGATCACTGTGGACACACATTTTATTCCATGTGTTATAATTCATAGTTCCAGTATTATCATGGTTCTTTCTTATCCCCAAATTGTCCCAAATTAGACTAGCAGGAACTTCTTAAGCTACTTCCCATATCCTTTTGACACATCTCCACTAATCTTTGAGTACTTCCTTGCTTTATTGGCATAAAATGGACCAGGCTCACCTTGTACTTTCCTTGACCTAGGCATGCAGTCAGCTAATTCTCCAAGGAGTCCTGGTACCTTGTAGTGGGGACTGGTACTTAGAAACCAAGATACAGAGGTAAGGGTATTTGCTGCAACTGTGGTATTACTATTCTGGTCCCTTTCAAAGGAAAATGGTAGGAAATATACATTTTTAAAAATAATGAATTTATATTGAATCTCCAATTCAAATCAACATTTGATCTTTGGGAGGCCGAGGTGGGTGGATCACTTGAGGCCAGGAGTTCAACACCAGCCTGGCCAACATGGTGAAACCCTGCCACTACTAAAAATAGAAAAATTAGTCTGGTATGGTGGTATGCACTTGTAATCCCAGCTACTAGGGAGGCTGGGGCAAGAGAATCACTTGAATCCAGGAGGTGGAGGTTGCAGTGAGCTGAGATCGTGTCACGGCACTCCAGCCTGGGTGACAGAGCAAGACTCTGTCTAAATAAAATAAAATAAATATTTGAAGGGTTTTTCTTCATCTTCCCCATTTCATATTCATAATCTCCTCTCTTCAATCAGTGATGTTGTTTAGAACCAGGGTTCCAGCAGAGGATTATGTTCAAAAGTTACTTGAATTAAATACTTTTCTTGGTGTGGCTGTTATTACTTTGATATACAGATAGGTTTACTTTTTTTTTTTTTTTTTAATTTTGAGATGGAGTTTCATTCTTGTTGCCCAGGCTGGAGTGCAATGGCATGATCTTGGCTCACTGCAACCTCCGCCTCCCAGGTTCAATCAATTCTCCTGCCTCAGCCTCCTGAGTAGCTGGGATTACAGGTGCCTGGCACCACGCCTGGCCAATTTTTTGTATTTTTAGTAGAGGCGGGGTTTCGCCATGTTGGCCAGGCTGGGCTGGTCTTGAACTCCTGACCTCAGGTGATACGCCCGCCTCGCCCTCCCAAAGTGTTGGGATTACAGGCATGAATCACTGTGCCCGGCCCCTTTTTTTTTTTGAGATGGAGTTTCTCTTTGTCGCCCACCTGGAGTGCAATGGTACGATCTTGGCTCACTGCAACCTCTGCCTCCTGGGTTTAAGCGATTCTCTTGCCTCAGTCTCCTGAGTAGCTGGGATTATAGGCATGCGCCACCATGCCCAGCTAAGTTTTGTATTTTTAGTAGAGACAGGGTTTCACCATGTTGGTAGGGCTGGTCTCGAACTCCTGACTTCGTGATCTGCCTGCCTTGGCCTCCCAAAGTGCTGGGATTACAGGCGTGAGCCACTGCACCCAGCCTAGATTCGCTTTTTTTGGTTTGTATTTAATTTAGTTTTTTCCCTCCTTTATTTAATTTTTGAATACATAAAATATCTACATAGTTCAAAAGTCAAAACTACATTAAAAAGGTATATAACCTTTTATCTGAATTGAGCAAACAAAACAGCTATATAACCAGGTGTTTTCTCCTCGTATATGTGTGTACACAAACAAAATCACTAATTCTCTATTTTTAGTTTGTAATTTGAACCCAAGTCCATGAAGTAAAGAGATAATATCTCTATGTTACTTTTTTTTTTTTTTTTTTTTTTTTGAGACAGAGGCTCTGTTGCCCAGGCTGGCTGGAGTGCAGTGGTGCGGTCTTGGCTCACTGCAAGCTCTGCCTCCCAGGTTCACGCCGTTCTCCTCCCTCAGCCTCCCAAGTAGCTGGGGCTACAGGTGCCTGCCACCACACCTGGCTAATTTCTGTATTTTTTTAAATATAGAGGCGGGGTTCCACCGTGTTAACAAGGATGGTCTCAATCTCCTGACCTTGTGATCCGCCTGCCTTGGCCTCCCAAAGTGTTGGGATTACAGGCGTGAGCCACTGCACCCGGCCACTTTTTTTTTTTTTTTTTAATAGACAAAGTCTCACTACTTCGCTCAGGCTGGAGTGCAATGGTGTGATCATGGCTCAGTATAACCCTAAACTCCTGGGCTCAGGCAATCCTCCTGCCCAGCCTCCTGAGTAGCTGAGACTACAGACATGCACAACCATGCTGGCTGTTTTTTTAAAAAACTGTTTTGGTAGAGACAGAGTGTCACTATTTTACCCAGGCTGGTCTTGAACTCCTGCAAGGAGTTTTGGGCTCCCTAAGTGCTGGGATTACAGGTTGAGCCATCACATCCGACCCTTCTCTACGTTCTCTATGCCATTTCTTTCACACTTTAATACAAGGATGTTAAGAGAATCTTGGCTACCATCCTTCAATGGATGAGAATGTGAATGGATCAAAACAAAATGCCTCAAAATGGTACACGATGGGGTCTTCTTGGTGATTTTTACAGAGCATCTAAAGCACTTCGGCCAGGCGTGGTGCCTCACGCCTGTAATCCCAGCACTTTGGGAGGCCGAGGCAGGCGGAACACAAGGTCAGGAGATTGAGACCATCCTGGCTAACATGGTGAAACCCCGTCTCTACTAAAAATACAAAAACAAAATTAGCCGGGCGTGGTGGCGGGCGCCTGTAGTCCCAGCTACTCAGGAGGCTGAGGCAGGAGAATGGCGTGAACCTGGGAGGCGGAGCTTGCAGTGAGCCGAGATCGCGCCACTGCACTCCAGCCTGGACGACAGAGGGAGACTCCGTCTCAAAAAAAAAAAAAACACTTCAAAAACTGTTTTTTTTCTTTTTCCAATATATTTTTTCTTTTTCGAGATGGAGTATCACTATATTGTCCAGGCTGGTCTCAAACTCCTGACTCAAGATCCTCCCACCTCAGCCACCCAAAATGCTGAGATTACAGGCACGAGCCATTGTGCCCAGCCTGCTTTTTTTTTTTTTTTTTTTAAAGAGATGGGGTCTTGCTCTGTCTCTCAGGCTGTGGAATGCACTGACACAATCATTGCTCACTGCAGCCTCCAATTCCTGGATTCAAGTGATCCTCCCTTCTCAGCCTCCCGAGTAGCTGGGACTATAGGTGCGTGCCACCGCACCTGGCTCAAAAACTGACTTCTCCAAATGTTTAGGTCTTAGATACAGTAGAAAGACTCTGTGGGCCACAGACAGAGTGCTGTATCTGAGAAAGCAACTGGTCTTGCAGAGTGAATCTATAGATTACCTGGTGACAATCCCATTTTCTGCAAGAATGAAGGCTGCAGCAGGATTGGCAGCCCTGATGAGGCTCTGCAGCTGAACAAGGAGAGGGTGCCGCTGCTCCGTGGTGTGACTGGTGAATACCACGTTACTCACCAGGCCTGGGAATAAAACCAAGGACAGTTTAGCCTTCACAGTCCTGGTTAGGGGTGAAGGCTCACACAAACGTGAGCCCTTGCTCCATCCCCTAATCATGCCTTCCAGTAGTCTCCTGATGGAGACAACCCTTACACCCCAATACCAACATAAACAGCTATCATTCTCTTCCCACTTCCCGGCACTGCCACCTCTTGGAATGAATAGCTTCAAGTCTGTAGCTGCCTTACTACCTAACCCCTAACTTCCTCTATCTTTTTTTTTTTTTTTTTTAAGACGGTGTCTCACTCTGTTGCCCAGGCTGGAGTGCAGTGGTGCGATCTCAGCTTACTGCAACCTCAGCCTCCAGGGTTCAAGCAATTCTCCTGCCTCAGCCTCTTGAGTAGCAGGAATTACAGGAACCCGCAACCATGCCTGGCTAATTTTTGTATTTTTAGTAGAGACGGGGTTTCACCATGTTGGCTAGGCTGGTCTTGAACTCCTGACCTCAGGTGATCAGCCCACCTCAGCCTCCCAAAGTGCTGGGATTACAGACATGAGCCATTGCACCCGGCCTCCTCTATTATTTTAATTCTGGTATCTAGCTGATACTTGGAATTCTTAGTCAAAGGGCCTTTTCACACATCCTGTATTTAGCATCATCAGGAACTGGTGCCATTTACCTTCACCAGTTCAGAACAACACAATTATCAAAAACTCACCATATAACAGGGGTTATTCATTATATCCTCAAAGAGTGCACTGCCAAGATACTGTGCACAGGGAGCCACATGATTCCAAGATAAATGCTAACAGATTTTAGTCACGTGGTAAGAAAGGGTGGCCCATGTAAGAAGAGGTTGCAGGGTGGGCCATGATCACTCCCAACCTTTTGGTGAAAATACAGAAGTAAAATTCACAGGACCACAGAGAATTTGGAGATCAGGAAACTTACCACACTTCACCACCCCAAGATAATTATAATACCCCTTCCATATTCATTCCTATTTTAACAGTTATAATCATAGCGCATATATAAGATTATTCATTTTGCATTTTTGTTATTCAATAATTTTTATTTACTTCTTCTTTTTTTTTTTTTGAGACGGAGTTTCACTCTTGTTGTCCAGGTTGGAGTGCAATGTTGCAATCTCAGCTCACTACAGTCTCCACCTCCCATGTTCAAGTAATTCTCCTGCCTCAGCCTCCTAAGTAGCTGGGATTACTGGTGCGCGCCACCATGCCCAGCTTATTTTGTATTTTTAGTAGAGATGGGGTTTCTCCATGTTGGTCAGGCTGGTCTCGAACTCCCGACCTCGTGATCTGCCTGCCTCGGCCTCCCAAAGTGCTGGGATTACAGGTGTGAGCCACCGCACCCAGCTGTACTTCTTAATATCGTAGAAAATTTCAAACATACACAACTAGAAAAATAGTAGAATGAACTCCCATCACCTGGTTTCAGGAACTACCAACACTCAGCTAATCGTATTTCATCTACACTCCACCCAGCTCATCCCCGGCTCCCCTACTGTATGATTTTGAAGTCAATCCCAGATACCCAATTATTTCAAACAAAAATACTTCAACGTGAATTTCCATAATATAAGGACTCTAAACATATTAACAATGAACTCCTTAATATAAAAAAATCCAGTCTGTGTTCAAATTTCTCTGTCTTATAAATGTTTTCTCAGTTAATAATTTTTGAATCAGGAACCAAAGGAAGTCTACATATTATATATATTTATATATTCAGTGGCTCACTGAAGCATTGACCTCCTGGGCTCAAGCAATCCTCCTGCCTCAGCCTCCTGTGTAGCTGGGACCACAGGTGTGCGTGCCACCATGCTTGGCTAATTTTTTTATTTTTTTTAGACACTGGGTCTCATTTTGTTGCCCAGACTGGTCTCAAACTCCTGGGCTCAAGTGATCCTCATGCCTTGGCCTCCTCTAAAGTGCTGGGATTACGGGCGTGAGCCACGGCACCCAGCTTCATTAGGATTTTCAGTTCCTCTAGTGGTCACTTTTATATCTTTAAAGAGTATACTTAACCCTTTATAACTTGATTTAATAGCTTTAAACTTTATCAATCTCCCATTCTGAAAGATGTAAAGAGTATCTCTCCTCTGCCAATTTTTTGTAAAATATAATTTCATAGATAGGCTTTCAACATTTATATTCTATTTTGTAATAGAATTCTCACAGGTGTTATAATTCTATACTTAAAAAAGATTCAATGCTCATCATCAACCCATTTACTAATAGAGAGTAGTTTAATTATTTTTTTATTATTATTATTTCTTGAGATGGAGTTTCGCTCTTGTTGCCCTGGCTGGAGTGCAATGGTGCAATCTCAGCTCACCACAACCTCCGCCTCCTGGGTTCAAGTGATTCCCCTGCCTCAGACTCCCGGCCTCCCGAGTAGCTGGGATTACAGGCATGCACCATCATGCCGGGCTAATTTTATATTTTTTAGCAGAGATGGAGTTTCTCCATGTTGGTCAGGCTGGTCTCGAACTCCTGACCTCAGGTGATCCACCCGCCTCGGCCTCCCAAAGTGCCGTGATTACAGACGTGAGCCATCGCGCCCGGTGAGAGTAGGTTTATAAATGAATAGTTCTTAAGTGAATATCTCTAAATTATGGAGATTTCTGCTTTCCTAAGTGACCTTGTAACTGCAGAATCCTAAGTAATGAATATTCAGTAATGAACACTCTATACTGATACTATTTACTTCAGTCAAGTGTTAAGTTAAAAAAATTAGCTGTATTCAGTTATTGAGGGCGAAACTCAGAACATATAGAAAGTGTGTCAGGCTGTTTTGGGGTTGCTGTAAAGAAATACCTGAGGCTGACTAATTTATAAAGAACCTTTAGCTTAATTGGCTAAAGGTTCTGCAGGCTTTCCAGGAAGCGTGGCGCTGGCATCGGCTTCTGGGGAGGCCTCAGGAAGCTTAAGATCATGGTAGAAGGCCTGGGAGCCAGCATATCACAGTGGTGAGGGCAGGAGCAAGAAGGGGCGGGGGAGGTGCCACACTCCTTTAAACAGCCAGGTCTCCTGTGAACTCAAGAGTAAGAACTCACTCACTATCACAAGGACAGCACCAAGCCATTCATGAGGGATCTGCCCCCATGACCCAAACACCTCCCACTAGGCCCCACTTTCAACACTGGGGATTATGTTTCAACATGAGATTTGGAGGGGACAAACATCTAATTTATATCAGAAGTGTTCACAAAGAAAATAAAATAATTCCTTTCCTGTCCAGACACCTAAATTCCCTGCCCTGGAGGCAACTGCAGTTATCAGATTCTTACCTCTTCTTCCAGAAGATCTGCTGAGTATATACAAAAGTGTTGAGTATAATTTTTTCCACAAGTAGTGACACATTACACTGTTCTGCACCTTTTCCCCCCACTTACTCCCTTTACTTTTTAATTTTGGTAAAGCTTACATCTTCCTTCAAATCTTTCTTAACATTTTATCATCCTAGTCCTCCCCTCATGCCACCCTGCTCTCTCCCCTTCTCTGAACTAAAAAAAAAGAAAAAAAGTTCTTTTGAATAACACAGGTGGCACTTAAAACACAGGACTTATATTCTTTATTTTTATTTTTATTTTTTTTGAGACAGAGTCTCACTGGGTCACCCAGGCTGCAGTGTAGTGGTGTGATCTCGGCTGGTTGCAACCTCCATGTCCCGGGTTCAAGTGATTCTCCTGCCTCATCCTCCTGAGTAGCTGGAATTACAGGCGCACACCACTGCACCCGTCTAATTTTTGTATTTTTAGTAGAGATGGGGTTTCACCATGTTGGCCAGGCTGGTCTTAAACTCCTGACCTCAGGTGATCCACCTGCCTTGGCCTCCCAAAGTGCTGGGAATGCAGGTGTGAGCCACTGCGCCTGGCCTGGACTTAGATTATTTATCTTCTTCCTCTATGGGAAAAGCTACCATAATGTAAAGACTAAGGCATTTAGAGCCAGGTGAACCTGAGTTTGAATTTTGAGTTCCGCTAATTACTAATGGGTGATACTAGACAAATTGCTCTACTTTCTCTCTGAAACCAAATATCCTCCTCTGTAAGATGGGAACCGTAACACATCACTCTAGGTTATCAATAAAACCTAGGCTTATCATAGGGCCTACAGAGAGTAAGAATCCATGAAATACAATCTATCATTTCCACCACTACCACCATCAGCACTGTCAATTGAGCATCAGCCTGAGAATTAGACTTCTCCCTGTACATAGAGGGGCCTGTCAGTGGCTGTGGCATTGGGTCTTGGCCATATCAACCACTGGGAAACTAAGTCATACAATTTCCACAAGCCAAGGCAGCTACACTCGTGGTTTAGATGGGGGGCAAGGAATAGTTTGAAGGCAGATTCCAGGACCCCTGGTCCCCTGCCTCTAGTCTTTGGTACCTGTGTTCGCATGGCCATTTGGAAAGGTCACTCTGCAGTGCACTCTGGAGGCTGCAGATGAGGCAGCAAAGCCAGCCTGGAAAGCTTGATGCCAGAATCCCATGCCCTGGTGCAGCCACAGAAAGTAGGGCCTCTGGAAACTGAGTAAGGCAAAGTCAGGAGGCCAAGTCCAAAATGTGGCACAGTGGGGAGGCAAGCAGGATCTCAGAAGCCTCAGCACATTCTAGAGATGGCAGACATGGAAGCCATATCCTACAAAGGGCCTGCCAGATTCCCAGGGTGGAAGGCAAGAAGAGCTCTGGCGGGTCTGGCAGTGAAGAGCCAGCAAAGGTTGAGGGAAGATCTATAAATACCCTAGGACTCTGTTTGGTATCTTCTTGGGCAAAAGAAACCAAAGTGTCAGACTAGTGCAAATGTGGCCATATGAACGGTGGTGCACCAGGGTCACAAGCACAGGCCTGGCCTGCCCAAGAAAAGGCTGGGATCTGGGTCTCTGACAGACACAACTTGTACAAAGTCCTGTCTGCTGCACATGTACCATATGGACAAAGCTTGTGGGGTTGGGATTCTAGGTCAGGAACTGGGCACAGAAAAGGGGCTTTGCTTTATAGGGAAACAAGCAAGAGGATTATCCCCAGCATTCCTTAGGCCAGCTATGTAAACTGCCACCTGCCAAGAGGAAATGCCATCTGTGAGGCAGGTACAGCAGTTATCTGGAGCACAGGGTGAACAGGCCATAGTGAGCGGTTCCACCTTGTTTGGGCCAGGAGCTTCCTTCTGTTCTGTATCAAGGAGTGGACAGCCAGATTTGGCCAAGGTCTCACCAGTCTGGGCTGTGAGCGAGCAGACAGCCTGGCGTATCCTATTCCCAAGAGCAGAGAAACATCCCTATTGTCTGGCTGACCATCCCAGTCTGGGCTAAAGTATTCCAGAAGCCCAGCAGAAAACAAAGGTGACTTCTTCTATCTACAGATGCTTTTAAAAGCAGGCCATGACAGTAAAGTATCTCCACTTTGCTCTCACACCAGCATTATAATGAGTCTTACTTGCTGTTTAAGCACTGAGATTATTTCTTAGTCCTTTGATTTCTATAATACACATTGTCTTGGGGCTGCAACATAGTCCTTTTCTAACTGGAAAATAATCTCTTATGAATCGGGTAGCCTGACTCATGAACAGGAGCAAAGGGAGGAAATATGCTCCCTTAGGACATGAAGTATTTGTCTACTGCTGGCAGATCCCACCTCCAAGCCAGCTACCAAATCTCCTAGGAGAAAAGAAATACTTGCCTTTTATCTCCTCCCTCCCCAGACAGCCCATGCCCATGGCAAGCCTGGTCAGGCCAGTCCACAGGGTCCCATGGGCCCAGAAGCAAGGCAGTGTCACTCCATGAGCCCCTTGGAGGAGTTCCGAAAACAGCATATGTGGCCTGAAGGTGATCAGCCCACATCTGATCACACCCCTAGCTCTACACAAGCACAGAGTTTAACACACATTGTCTTTGCACAATGAGTTGGAAGGCAGTATAAATGAAACATGCCTACCAAATGCCAGAGAGAACAGTCTGTTTTGGCCTCAAAGGGTTCAGACTAAAAGGGGCTTTTCTCTTGTGAGACAAGCCCAGGGCTGCCCCTGATTCAATGATGAAAACAGAACACTTCCCCAAGGCTCTCTGCCAGGGAAGCCCCACCATCTGTGCTTGTTCCTCATGCAAAAAAGAAGAGGGACACTGAGGGAGAATGCCAAGGAGCTGAGGTGCACTAGGGTGCCAATCATCACACGGTGGACAAGGGGCTCTGAAAGGAAAAGAAGGCTCCAGCATTTACAAGAACAAGGCAGGCCTGAGGCTGGACAGGTCAGCAAGTCCTAGGCACACCATCTGATAGTCAATACTGCCCCCTAGGCAAACACTTCCTCAACTTCACCTGCTTCCAACTAAAGCTCTTCTCAAGGACACTGCTTCTCTGAGTCAATCTTCACTTGGGCTCTGGACCCTACCCCTTCCTTCTCAGGGGTCCCCTCTATCAAACCTAGTATCTCCTTGCAGCCCACAGGCTTTCTCAGCAGCAAATAAGGAGGAACTGATCATTAAGAAATGACAATTCTTGGAAGTATTCTCTAGCCATCTTCCTTTTTACAGCCCCAAGCACTCTAGAATATCATCTGCACCTGCTGGCTTCCAGTATCTCACTTGACCACTGGCCCACTTGGAGCTGGCTTCAGCCCTCACCTCTCCACTCAGATCCTCCTACTCAGGTCATCAGGGTCCTTCTCACTTACAGAGCCAGTGGGCTTTTCTCTGTTCTTCCCTCAAGGTCTCTGCAGCATTAGACATCGTGGATCTCTTTTTCTCCTTCCTCAATGTCTCAGGCAACACTCTTCCCTGCTTCTCTTTCGGTGTCCTGGAACCTCCACCCTCACCCCATCTCTAGCCTTCTGATCTTTTCAACTCTATATCTGGATACTGGCTGACTACAGTCCATGCCATTAACTTTGACCATGACTTCCAAATACGTATCTTAGGATGAGACAGCCCTCCTTGGTTATCTCCTGGACCTATGTTTTCTCCTGTGCTTTCTATTTGAAGGACAGGTACCACCAACCTTCCTAATCTCCTAAGCTAGAAACCTAGGAGTCATCCTAGATACCTCTTTTTCCAACACATGCCCCACATCTAGTCTGTCACCAGATCCTATTGACCCAACCTCCACAAAATCTCCTTAATCTACCTGGGGTGGATACTGTGGATGGACCTACCCAATCTCCATTTCATCCTGTTTCTGAGGTGCAGTGCCTAGAAAGTAACAGGGACCTCTGAAAGCTGGACCTGAGACTACCTGGTACAGCAGCCCAACATACACATTCCTCCCTCCAGGGACCAGCCTCCTGCCCTGGGCAGCATGAGCTCAGCTGTTTCCCAAGACAACAACTCTGGTATGCTCTGTTGTCTCCGCTCCCTGCGGACTGGCAATACGATCAGCAGGATGAAACTGTGCTGGGGACACTGAGTTGTTTTCTTCCATCTGATTTCTGCTTGCTGGACTAGCTCAGGAAGCCCAGACCCCAGGCATGTCTCCTGATAACAATGAGCATTTCATCACCACTGCAGGGAATTCAGAATTTATTCTGGACCTCCAAACATCACAGATAATATGACTAGAAAGTGCTGCTTCCAGGGTTGTCAGGTAGTAGGGCACTGCAAGGTTGAATGCAACCTGCAGGATGGGTGAATTTTTCTCAATGTTATCAAGGAAATGCGGAAAATTCCAGGGTGCATAGGGGTGGGAGGTATTAAGAAAGACAGGTCCCGCTGGGCCAAACTCAGCACTCTTGGGGCAGAAGTGAATCAAGATCTTGCTGATCCAGAGGCTAGGAATACCTACTCAGTCCACTAGTATTAGCTGGAATGCCAGGTGGACTTAAGCCCAGCTCAAGGAGAGGTATTACTGTGGCAATTTGTTGCCATAAGAGACAAGCTCAGGCCAGGCGCCGTGGCTCATGCCTGTAATCCCAGCACTTTGGGAGGCCGAGGTGGGCGGACTACGAGGTCAGGAGTTCAAGACCAGCCTGGCCAACATGGTGAAACCCCATCTCTACTAAAAATACAAAAATTAGCTGGGTGTGGTGGTACATGCTTGTAATCCCAGCTACTTGGGAGGCTGAGGTAGGAGAATCAGTTGAACCTGGGAGGCAGAGGTTGCAGTGAGCCGAGACCACGCTATTGCACTCCAATCTGGGCGACAGAGTAAGACTCCGTCTCAAAAAAAAGAGACAAGCTCTTGGAAGAAATGTGCCTATCAAATATGGTAAAAGTAAAGGTGTCAAAGTTTTTTCTGACCAATTTTGTTTGCTTTAGATTTCAGAATGGTAGGTAAGAGCACGAAGAAAAGTCTATTGCTGAATTCTACTGAACTTGCAAGGCATGCAGGCTGAAAATAAAGTATATTACTTACCTTGTGAACACTGGTCAAGACATTTAGGAAAGAGAAATCTAGGGGGAAAAAAGGGGGAAATATTTAAAAACCATTCACCTCAGAGTTGTCACTGATTATTTCCCATACAAATAGGAGTACCACTGACAAGCAAATTGACTCACATGATGAGGCAGGTGGCAGCAGCACTGAGCACTAAGGATAGCCATGGGACTTTACAGCTTTCCGTCAAAGCTCCCCACACCAGGAGCCCCACAGAAGTCCCTACATGGCCAATTCTAAGTGGAATGCTGAAGGAGGGATACTGGGGACAGGACCAGCTCTTTGGTCTATGGGAGATGGAGAAAGAGCTGGTCTTTTTTGAAAGACATATGTTTTTGAGTAAAGTGGATATTTCAAGGGAAAATAAGAATTACACTCATCTAACTCTACCAGGGGCCTTTAATACCAAAGCTGCCATGCTTCTCTTTATGTACATGCTATAACCTCAATTCTCCTTTAATCTCATTCTTAACTCAAAAGGTGAATGAAAAGCAGGAAACTGACCATCTGAATTACAAGTGAAGCAAGAGGTGGGGGTGACTGATCCAAAGTGTGAGTTACTTAACAACTGTAGCACTGCAGTAGGCTCCAGAGAAAAACTCATATTCTCACAGGACTTCAGAACTCCTAAAACATCATAAGGCCTGTCTCAAGGAAGAAAGCTAACACTAATGGGGATAGCTGCCTTTTATGGAGTTCCTCCTGTGGGCAAGGCACTGTGCAGGCAGTTCACAAACATGATCTTGCTCTGTCGTCCTGTCTGCTCTGTGCCTCAGGTATCTAACAGATGAAAGGCATGGGTTTAGGACGGCTAAACACACTAAGCTTGCCCAGTGTCTCACAGGCAGCTGGGAGGCAGCAGGGCTAAGGCAGGGACCCAGGTCTGTTTGGCACCACAGAGGTCCTGTGTTTTCTTCCCTGGCAATTGGGATGCTAGCTGAAGCCACTCTTCTGAATGGCTGCTGGTCTAGCTGGCAGTTATTAATGATGTTCGCAACACTGGGGGAGTTTCTCTCCTGGAATTTCCTTGGTGGCAGCAAATCTTCATCCTTTTATTTGATTTCTGACAACAGCCAGTCACACATCATTTGAAACCAAATTTGGTAGATGAGCTGGGTGAATACCAGGTTGGGCTGTGAATCCTGTTCCCTTACCTGACTCCCTCATAGTTTCTGAAGAATTCCAAGGAGGAAAACCCATGTGCTATAAGCAGGGTCAAAGGGGCTGGAACAAGGGAAGATACAGCCACACCAGAGTCTCCCAAGAATAGAACTCACTGACTTCACTGTGCTCACAGTCCACAGAAGGCTGCCACACAGTAAGCATTCTTTTACTTACTTTAAAGTTTTACTTAAAAAAATTTAAACAGCCTGTAATCCCAGCACTTTTGGAGGCTGAGATGGGCAGATCACCTGACGTTGGAAGTTCGAGACCAGCCTGACCAACACAGAGAAACCCCGTCTCTACTAAAAATACAAAAAAATTAGCCGGGCATGGTGGTGCATGCCTGTAATCCCAGCTACTCGGGAGGCTGAGGCAAGAAAATCGCTTGAACCTGGGAGGCGGAGGTTGCAGTGAGCTGGGATCATGCCACTGCACTCCAACCTGGGCAACAAGAGCAAAACTCCATCTCAAAGAAAAAAAAAAAAATTTAAACAATGGAGCAACTGTTCAGTTGGTGAAGGAAGTCAACTCCTTTTTTTGAGATAGCGTCTCACTGTTGCCCAGGTTGGAGTGCAGTAGCATGAACACAGCTCACTGCAGCCTCAACCTCTTGGGCTCAAGCAATCCTCCAGCCTCAGCCTCCCAAGTAGCTGGGACTACAGGTGCTCACTACCACACCTGGTTAATTTATTTTTTTGGCAGAGACAGGGTCTCACTATGCTACCCAGGCTGCTCTTGAACTCCGGGGCTCAAGCATCCTCCAACCTTCCATCTTCCAAGTGTGCTGAGATTACAGGCATGAGCCACTGTGCCCTGCCTGATTTTGTTACTTAAATTCTTATATTCCATAATCATGTTCACCCAATTTTAGCCTTATTTCTATATTTAAATAGATTATATACTCAACTTCAGTCCTTTTACGCCTTATTAAAAAAATTTTTTTTTTGAGACAGAGTCTTGCTTGCTCTGTCACCCAGGCTGGGGTGCAGTGGCACGATCGCAGCTCACTGCAACCTCCACCTCCCGGGTTCAAGCGATTTTCGTGCCTCAGCCTCCTGAGTAGCTGGGATTACAAGTGTGCACCACCACTCCTGGTTAATTTTTGTATTTTTAGTAGAAATGGGATTTTGTCATGTTGGCCAGGCTGGTCTCGAACTCCTGTCCTCAAGTGATCTGCCTGCCTTGGCCTCCCAAAGTGCTGGGATTACAGGCATGAGCCACCGCACCTGGCCTTAAATTATTTTTTAACAATATTTAGTACACACATGTTGGAGCACCCATTTATTTAGCAGGTATTTCATAAGTCCTTACTATGTACTATTAAACAGAAATAGTTCTCCCTCACAAAAGCTAAGCTTGTCTTCCATAATTCCTCTCTCTTCTTTGGCTATAAGTCCAAAGGGGTCTATTGAGGACCTAGCACTAATAAAAGAACAGCATTTACTACATACAAGGTGACTAATGCATTCCAAAAGATCTGTCTTCTTCTGGTGGGTGGAAACAAATCACTTTCAGTACACTTACACACCATATCCTGTATCTACCTGTGCTCCATGTAGCAGCTCATGGGCTCCACACATGCTGTGATGGCACCAATGGTGAAGGAGGCCTTGACATTTGAGTCTGGGTGGGTCTGCAGGGCCTGGACAACATCAATAACATCTGTGTAGCTGGGGAAGGTAAAAAAGGAATGATTAGTTCACTGACTGGCATTGCAAAGTGGAGGAAGAGGGGAATCCCGAATGGCTGATTGAACAAGGATGGAAAGAAAACCAAAAGGAAGAGCCCGCAATCTGGTCCCTTGGTGTCACTCCACTTCATGACATGCAGCCCCTGGAAGCTACAGTGTTTCTACATTCCCAAGTTCCATTAGTCCTCATAACTGGGCAAGAGTGAGGGAAGAACCACCCTGCTCTGGAGGTAAAAGGAAGCCTGCAGGCGATCCTGGAGCTCTGAGGGTGGGACCTAGTGTCCTTAGGCCTGTTTTCTAATCAAGTTAGGAGCTCCTGCCACTTGCTTATTTTCTTTAGTAGCTCCTTTCTCTCCTTCCCACTTCTCAGAACACACAGGCAAGAGAGTGCGTCCGGACCCATCCAGGTCAGCAGACTCATCCATGTCAAATACAGCTCACATTGGTATCTCCTGCCTGGAACTCTCTCCAAACTCCAAACTCCTTGTCCTTTTCAGCAGATGGACTCTACTCTTTCAGATGCTAGGCTCAAATATATTTTTTTTGGTCTCCTTTGACTCCATTTTTTTCTGTCTTCAAAATATAACTAGAAGAGATCACTGCTTACACCCCCAAGCTCCCACTGGGTCCAAACTGTTATAATCTCTTGCTTAGATCACCCCAACAGCCTCCCAGCTGTCACTGCTTCTGTCCTTGCCTCTCTCTGATCTGTTTTCAACACAGATGCCAGAGAGATATGCTAAACCCAGAGTCAGATCATGTCATTTCTCTGCTCAAAACCCGCTGGTGGCTTCCATCTCACTCTGTGTGAAAGCCAAAGCCCTTACAATGTCCCAGGCAGCCCTCTATGATCTGACCCCCTATGGAGCAGCAAAGAATTTCATCTACTATCACTTCCCTTGCCCTAATCCAGCTACTTTGGTCTCCTGGCTCTTTTCTGAACATGCCAGGCATACTTCTACCTCTGCATTCTTTGCCCCCCTGCCTGGAATGTTCTTTTCCTCAGGTATCTGCATGGGTGGTTCTCTCTCCCTTCAGGTCTCTGCTCAGGCGGCATCTTACGGACAGGCATCCTCTGACTTCATACACCCTGTGTGATCAAGCAACCCTCGCTTCTTGGCATTCCCTACCTCCTCCTCCAAGTTTCTTCAAAGCCCCAATCGGCAGCTATTTATACCCTATTTTCTCATTTATTTGTTTACTGTCTCCATAATAAGAATGTCAGGTGGTTGTTGAGTACTGTAATCTCTGCTGCCTAAAGCAGGGTAGGTGAATAAACTGGATGTTCAACCCTGAGCAGGCCCCTGGCCACTTCAAGAGGGGACCTAGCCTCTTCACCTTGTAGAGGAGAACTCTTTCCTGATTGATCCGGCCTATCACCAAAAGGTTTGTTCCTATGGAAATAAGTCAAACCTAACAGGCAGCTTTTCTGATCAGATGGGCCTGGTTTAGCCTGAGCCCTTTGGAAGCCAGTGGTGGTGGTATGGACAGGTACAGCCTGCTTGAGTTGTTCTTGAGTTCCTACGAACAACTCATCTGTAAAAAGGCCCTTGGCTTTATCCCCAGACTGCAATACTCCACCCCACCCCAGGTTCTCCTGAGTCCTGATCAGCTGGCAGTGCTTCAGTAGAGAACGGGGTTTACTAGGTTCTAAGAGTTCCCCCAGGGGGGCCTGACAGCCCTCTGCTCACAGCCTTCTCTTCTTCAGGGATTCTCCCCCTGCCTGGGCATGTATGTATGACCACACGCGGCTCTTTCCACTGAGTGCCTGGCTGGGCCTGGATGCCAGGAGAGTCCCACCCACAACACGCACTGCCAGGCCCATAGAGAAGCACGCCTGGTAAGCAGGGCTGGCGTGTGCATGCTGTTCTGCATCCCTCTGTGGTGGTGTTTAATGGAGTTAATGGATTTAACTCTTACAGTTAATGTGAAACATGTGCTCACTCAGATTGTAGGCTTAAATTGCAAACATAAAACAGCCTACAGGAGACTTCAGTGTAAGCAGTAGAGACTCATTTCTTAGGGGAGCAAAGGACAACGGAAAAGGATTCACAAGTCATGCTTGAGGAGTCATTTTAATATAACAGGATTTCCCTTAGAGAGAGTGCCTGGGGAATTTCTAGGTTTTCAGAGCATTTCATTAATTTCCATTGACTTTAATGGAAAAAGGTTAGAGTAAAAAACAGGCCCCTGTCTCCTTGATGAGGCCTATACATCTGGGCACTGCCTCAAGAGAGAAGGCCCCAGGCCATTCACTCTATCCATTAGGGGAATCCCTGTTAGAACCTCCCTCCCTCCCCAGCCCCATAATCATCCTGGGTGAGGCCTCCAGACAGAAAGAGCACCCCCTACCCAGAAGGAAGCACCACGCTCAAGTTACTAGAGTCTTTTTTTTTTTTTTTTTTTTTTTTTGAGACAGAGTCTTGCTCTGTTGCCCAGGCTGGAGTGCAGTGGCAGGGTCACAGCTCACAGTAAACTCTGCCTCCCAGGCTCAAGCGATCCTCCTGCCTCAGCCTCCTGAGTAGCTGTGACCACAGGTGTGCACCACCACACCCAGCTAATTTTTTGTATTTTTGGTAGAGACAGGGTTTCCTCATGTTGCTCAGGCTGCTCTCAAACTCCTGAGCTCAAGTGATTCACCCACCTTGGCCTCCCAAAGTGCTGGGATTACATGTGTGAGCCATGGTGGCCAGGCTACAGCTTGTACCGGACCACTCTGGCTAAACTGACCCAACTGTATGACGAAGGCAAAAAACTGTCTCTTCACGTTTGCTTTCTGTCAGTATTTTCTTTATTAAAAATAAAAACTAAACAAAAACCCAGCAGGACCTTAACTTTCTTTTCTCTGAAACAACAGATAATCTATTCAAGTCTCCTTTGGGCTCAGTTTTATGTTTGCAATTTAAGCCTACAATCTGAGTGTGCACAAGTTTTTACATTAATTTCAAATTTTGTTTTTAATGCAGATAATTTTAAAGAATGATTTTATAATATTCCAGAGTATAAATACAGCCCCTCAAATTCTCTAAAATTAATTTTTTAAAATTCAGATTTTTCCAGTTTTACTTATATTTGTGTGTGTGTATGTGTGTGTGTGTGTATTAAGTTCTATTCAATTTTACCACCTGTGTAGGTTCTTATATCCATCACCATGGTCAGGATACTAAACAGTTCCAACACACAAGGATCCCTTGTGTTGCCCTTTTATAAACATGCCCACCTCCCTCCTGCCCTCCACTCCCATTCTGACCTCTGTCAATCACTAATCTGTCCTCCATTTCTAAAACTTTGTCATTTTAAAATACATAAATTCAATTTTTAAAACAACAACTAACAGCTCCACTTGATGTCAAAGTTCAATTCTATTGCCCCACCGCTTCACTAAATTGAGTGGCATCAGGCCACTCTAGGGGCTAAAGAAATCTCTGTCCTATATTACATGTTTCCCCAAAGAATGCTATAAATGAAAATAAAGCCAAGCCAGGCATGGTGGCTCACACCCATACTCCCACCACTTTGGGAGGCTGAGGTGGGAAGATTGGTTAAGCTCAGGAGTTCGAGACCAGCCTGGGCAACATAGGGAGACCCATCTCTAAAAACAAAGGCCAGGAACTGGGCGCGGTGGCTCACACCTGTAATCCCAGCACTCTGGGAGGCCAAGGCAGGCGGATCACTTGAGGTCAGGAGTTCAAGACCAGCCTAACCAAGATGGTGAAACCCCATTTCTACTAAAAATACAAAAATTAGCCAGGCGTGGTGGTGAGCACCTGTAATCCCAGCTACTTGGGAGGCTGAGGCACGAGAATTGCTTGAACCCAGGAGGCGGAGGTTGCAGTGAGCCGAGATTGCACCATTGCACTCCAGCCTGGACGACAGAGTGAGACTCTGTCTCATTAAAAAAAAAAAAAAGGGCCAGGAGCGGTGGCTCATGCCTGTAATTGCAGCACTTTGGGAGGCTGAGGTGGGCGGATCACCTGAGGTCAGGAGTTCGAGACCAGTCTGGCCAACATAGTGAAATCTGATCTCTACTAAAAAATACAAAAATTACTCGGGTGTGGTGGCGTGTGCCTGCAATCCCAGCTACTTGGGAGGCTGAAGTGGGAGTATTGCTTGAACTCGGGAGGTGGAGGTTGCAGTGAGCTGAGATTGCACCACTGCACTCCAGCCTGGGCAACAGAGCAAGACTCCGTTTCAAAAAAAAAAAAGAAAAAGAAAAAAAGAAAATAAAGCCATATTCAAGGAATACAATTCTTAATATGAGAAGCATCTGGGATCTCCCATCACCAACAACCTAAATAATGGGCATGAAGGCCCAGCCCCAAGATGATGGACATGCTATAAAGGAGGGTGCTACATGGGCCCAGCTGGTAAGAACAGCGTCTTAGTGAAGAGCCACAGCATTTAGCTAGTATTCTGACTGGAGTCCTCCAGGAAATTGACTAGAGGTCCCCATATCCTGGGGCTGTGATGGGACAAAGGCTGGGTTTACAGTATAAGAGTGGTCTGGTCACACTGTCACTGTAGTCCAGAAGCAGCTAGAAAAGCTGACACTTTTGCAGAATTGTAAAGTCAGAGACAAAAAATCAGTGATGCTCTCCGAAGTGATGGAAGATGGAAATGACCTCAACTGCACATTGTCAAGCTGCTGAATTCACCTCCAGGTCCACACCCTCGGTGACTCTCAACTGGTGGGGGCAGGCAGTAAAGGAGGTGGGCCAACCCATTCCTTTGACCAGTAGAAACAATGAAAAACCAGAAGAAAACAAGTGGTTTCAAGCCCAGACTCTTCCTCTGGTTTCTAGGACCTTGCCCACAAGCAGGACAAAAGGGCTGACAGAAGGTAAGCTGGAGGCAAGGTATGAGAACAAGGCTCGAAAGGGAAAGATGGCCTGCTAGGGTACACCGTCCCACCTGCCTCCTTCCTCAGTACCACTCTCCCAGCTTTGCTCCAATTCCCATCATCACAGCCAGGACACCAAAGGGGCTTTGGATTGGGACCCATTCTTTACTGGAAACAACTAGCCAATTGCAAACACTAACATAGCACAAAAGCACTTTGTAAGAACTACCAAAAGCTTCTTTATTACCACCAACCATAACAACATTAGTGAAAAGCATGGCTCCTGTTTTCCTGACTGCGCATTCCCCTCTGAGCCTGGAGTGGTGATGGGTCTGTGAGGGGCTCCTCCCTGAAAGGCCTTAGAACAGGTCAAAAGAAACTCCTTTCAGCCAGGGTCCCCTGGAGCAGTGGTACAAGCTCTGTCAAACCTGCCCTCCCGTGTTGCACACTCAAAATAATCATGCTTACAGAGACTTCATGAGCTAGTCAGCCTATAATCATAGTTCTGCACACAGCCATGAAAGGGGAGCTTCTTACCCAATATGAATATTCCCACTCCTCACTGAAGGTCCCAGGAAACTCTCCTGGGCCACAATCCAGGGCATGGTGAAGCTGGAGACTGCAGAGTATGAGGGTCATCTCTGCAATTCCACAAGAGGGAGGACTGAAACAGATGAAGCTCCCTTATTTAGATGATGAATGAAGACTTAGGGACCACTACTGCTGCAAAAATTCCCAATGAATCTTGCCAGGTTCCCTAATTCCCCACCTTGTGGGGATATGATGATGTTAAATCCAAACTTAAAACTTGTGTGCAAGCTATACTAGCCTATAGGCCATAGGATGGCAATAGGGTCATTGCTCGCTTAAGGCTTCTCTGTAGCGCAGACACTGCTCATGCATGTAGAGTCTGTTCTGTGCTCCAGGTTTGTTACACATAAAATAAGAGTAATGGCAAGGTCATCACCCTGATTCGACTGTTTCCAGGAGACTTCCAATGCTCACCCTTGTAACACCACCAGCAGTCTGGTCTTCTTGCGGATGTAGGCTGACTGGCGCGCAGAGCGGTTCTGCTGGGCCTCTAGGGCACTGGAAAGGTATCTCTGGAAGTGTGCAGCATGAAAACATTCAGAGCTGTCCATGATTTGGCGATACACCATCCATCTGGAAAGGTAAAAGGTAACCTCTGCATGGGGGCCACCTGATGGCCTAGCTCCATAGGTTCAGCCATGGATTCAAATGTGACCATGAGTCCTAAAGCCATTCTGCCCAGTGAATCCATTCAGGAGAAAGCCATCTTGGCCTCACAGAAAAAAGGCAGAGGGCACTGGATGGGTTGGAAGCCCAGTATCCTGAAACCACTGTCACTGGGGCTTTTGATAGGAAACCCCTTGCCATAGGGAAAATGGTCAGGTAAGCACTTGACCAACAGACATCAGAGGTAAGAAAGACTCCTTCTGACCAGGCAGTCACTTTCTGAAGGACCATGCAAAAGATGGCTTCAGTTAGTCTCTTGCTAAGAATCAGAAATGGGCAGGGTTGGCTGGGCATTGTGGCTCACGCCTGTAATCCCAGCACTTTGGGAGGCCGAGGCGGGCGGATCACCTGAAGTCGGGAGGTTCAAGACCAGCCTGACCAACATAGAGAAATTCCATCTCTACTAAAAATACAAAATCAGTAGGGCTTGGTGGCGCATGCCTGTAATCCCAGCTACTTGGGGGGCTGAGGCAGGAGAATCGCTTGACCCCGGGAGGCAGAGGTTGCAGTGAGCTGAGATCGCACCACTGCACTCCAGCCTGGGCAACAAGAGTGAAACTCCATCTCAAAAATAAAAATAAATGGGCAGGGTGAATAATTCAGAATCTTTATAGAACAAAAACACTAGACACGAGGAACTGGTTAGACATTTAGTACTCAATAAATGAGGTCCTGTATTTCCCAAGCATTGCTCTGTAATTTGCCTCCCCATTCTCCACAATATCCCATCCTAAACTGCCGACTCTCTATGCAATTTCAGGCTTCCAAATTTCTTTACGGCCTCCTGCAGGATGCCTTACCTTGGGGTAGACTGACTGGATATTAAACACCTGGTTCAATCTGCAAGGGTTGTTTGGTAATCTGACAGCCAGGTGGAAGTGAAGGATGAATGATTTTCCTGATTTCACCTGGGCCAACCTGTTCCAGCTGCATCTGAACTCAGGCAGTCTCCTTGTGCTCATGGGAGGATCATGACATCCACCAGGCCTAAGTTTTATAACCATCATGACCCTGAATTTCCCTGCTGACCAGATGCACTCCCAGCCCTCTACATTTGCTTGACCTGCTGCTACAATGCTCTCCCCTAGATAGCTACATGGTTTATTCCTTAAAGTCTCTGCTCAAATATCACCTCCTTAGTCAAGTTTTCCCAGACCATCCAATTTAAAATTGGAATCTAAGCTGGGTGCACAGTAGCGTGTGCCTGTATCTCAGCTACTTTGTAGAATGAGGTGGGAGGATCACTTGAGCTCAGGAGTTTGAGACCAGCCTGGACAACACAGCAAAACCCCACCTCTAAAAGCTTTTTTAAAAATTAGTGCAGCACACCAACATGGCATATGTATACATGTGTAACAAACCTGCACGTTGTGCACATGTATTCTAAAACTTAAAGTATAATTTTAAAAAATTAGTTAGGTGTGATGGTGCACACCTGTAGTCCTGCCTACTTGGGAGGGTCAGGTGGGAGGATAATTTGAACCCAGGAGTTTGAGGTTACAGGTGAACTATGATCGTGCCACTGTACGCGAGTTTGGGTGACAGAGAGAGACCCCATCTCTAAAAACAAAACAGAAAACTGAAACCCCACTCCCAGCCCTGCACTTCCTATAACCTTCCCTGCTTTATTTTCTGTTTTTTTGTTTTGTTTTTTTAATCAGGGTCTCACTCTGTTGCCCAGGCTGGGATGCAGTGGCGCAATCTCAGCTCACCGCAGCCTCGCCCTCCTAGGTTCAAGTGATCCTCCCACCTCAGCCTCCCGAGTAGCTGGGACTATAGGTGCATGCCACCACGTTCGGCTAATTTTTGTATTTTTGTAGGTTTTGCCATGTTGTCAAGGCTGGTCTCAAATTCCTGGTCTCAGGCGATCTACCCACTTTTGCCTCCCAAAGTGCTGGGATTACAGGTGTGAGACACTGCACCTGGCCCCTTCTCTGCTTTATTTTCTCCATAGAACTTTTCACTAGTTAATATACTTTTCCTTATCTGTTTGTCTTACCAAACTAGAATGTAAGCTCCATAAGTGCAGAGATTTTCGTGTCTGTATGTTCATCGATGTATTCTCTCATACTCAGAACAGTGCCTGCCATACAGGAAGTGCTCAGAAGAGCATATTAAATGAATGGCTGACTACCATGCTGATACCAGTCCCACCAAGGCCAGTACATGTCTAAGGTTTTCCAGTGCCTAGGCAGGCCCAAGTTAGAATCCCTTTCCCCAAAGCAAAGGCATCAGCCATACTAACCTGCCACATTCCTTATGCAGAGTGACCAGAAAAGCACAGAGCTCGCTAGCGTGACAGCCTGGGAGGCCGGTTACAATGCTGATAATTACCTACATGAAGAAAAAGTCATGGGTTTGCAATTCAACTGCATTGCATTATGTAAGAAGAGGTTAAGAGAACTGACTTCTGGTGCCAAGCATTGTGGGTGTGAACCTCAGTATGACCTCTCACTAACTCTGTGACCTTAGGCCAATGACAGAACCTATATTGTAAAGTGGGTGTGAGGATTAACTGGGTTAACATAAGCAAAGTGTTTAGAACAGTGCTTGCCATGTAGCAAATACCATATAAAATGTAGTGTTACTAGTTTAATTTTTACTAGAGTAGTAACACTAATTAGAGCATATTGTGAATAGATTAGTTAAAATACAATGCATTAAAGGACCTACCTGCTTGAGACCACAGATCTCTTCTGTAAAGCAGACATTCAGGGATATTATGACTTTTTTTCCCAGTAGTAACTATTTCTTAGGAAAACACTGGGCAGAAAGGAGGTCTGGGACAAAAATGCCCCAGGCTACACTGGTGTAGTAAACTAGGGCAGAAGACAGGAGAGTGGTGCTGGGGATGCTTCTGCCTGGTTGCCTGTGCCCTCCAAGTCACACGGTCAGGGCTAAGTCTTTTTTTTTTTTTTTTTTTGAGATGGAGTCTCACTCTGTCGCCCAGGCTGAAGTGCTGTGGTGTGATCTCAGCTCACTACAACCTCCGCCTCCTGGGTTCAAGAGATTCTCCTGCCTCAGCCTCCCAAGTAGCTGGGATTACAGGCACATGCCACCATACCCAGCTAATTTTTTCATTTTTAGTAGACACGGGGTTTCACCATGTTGGCCAGGCTGGTCTCGAACTCCTGACCTTGGGTGATCCACCCGCCTTGGCCTCCCAAAGTGCTGGAATTACAGGCGTGAGCCACCGCACCTGGCCGACCAGGGCTAAGTCTTACTCACTGTGCGTGTGAAGCACTTGTGATTCTGGAAGAGAAGAGGGGCCAGGCTGAACTGTCCTAACCTTATTATACACCCACAGGAAAATAGGTCCCCTTTCAGGTAGATATTCCAAAGCAACTTAATAAATTCACTGAAAAAGGAGGCATCAGGCAGGTGAGGACAGGAACCCTGCAATCACCGAGGGAGGTCTATGTAAATGACTTGGCATGGCAAGTGCCTCTGTAAGTTTTTTTGTTTTTTTTTTTTTTTTTGAGACGGAGTCTCGCTCCGTCGCCAGGCTGGAGTGCAGTGGTGCAATCTCGGCTCACTGCAACCTCCACCTCCCAGGTTCAAGTGATTCTCCTGCCTCAGCCTCCCGAGTAGCTGGGACTACAGGTGCCCACCACCATGCCTGGCTAATTTTTTGTATTTTTAGTAGAGACGGGGCTTCACCATGTTGGCCAGGATGGTCTCAATCTCTTGACCTCGTGATCCACCTGCCTCAGCTTCCCAAAGTGCTGGGATTACAGGCGTGAGCCACCAGCCCAGCCTGTTAAGTTTTATTTCACAATACACAAGACTCACTGGGACAGGCCCAGTCACAAATAACTTATGCTAAAGCTAAGCCTGGAAGCACTCATCACTTGAGCTGCCCACATCAGCACAGAGAAGACGGCCGTAAATCCCTCTTCTTTTGTAGGACCCAGAAGCTGTCTCTTGTTCCCTCTGACCAGGGCCTCTACACCGTACCCCTTTCTACCCCTCAGGCAGTACTCCATGTTTATCCTCCTCCTATCCAGCCTTCCCTGTCTTCGTTCCTATTTCTCAGTGCCCAGGTCTCAGCCCCTCAAATCGCAGCACATGTACATACAGCCAGACATGTTTTTACTTTAAGGCCAATCCAAGAGCACCTTTTTTTTTTTTTTGAGATGGAGTCTCGCTCCATTGCCCAGGCTGGAGTACAGTGGTGCGATCTTGGCTTACTACAACCTCCGCCTCCCGGGTTCACGCAATTCTCCTGTCTCAGCCTCCCGAGTAGCTGGGACTACAGGCACCTGCCACCAATGCCTGGCTAATTTTTGTATTTTTAGTAGAGGCGCGGTTTCACCTTGTTGGTCAGGCTGGTCTCGAACTCCTGACCTCAGGTGATCCACCTACCTCGACCTCCCAAAGTGCTGGGATTACAGGCATGAGCCATGCCGCCTGGGCGAGCACCTTTTAATAAAATACAACAAGTAGGTATGCTTTACAAACAGATGCTTTACACTCTTGCCTAAGGGAAAAAATGACGTTTCTCATTGCTTAGTGCTTTTATTTCCTTTTGCAGCTGAGTATCTTCTAGACTTGCATGGAAATAAATATCCTCTTTGAGCCTATTAAGACTTATGGTTCTGGGCTGGGCGCGGTGGCTCATGTCTGTAAACCCAGCACTTTGGGAGGCCGAGGCGGGAGGATCACTCGAAGTCAGGAGATCAAGACCAGCCTGGCAACATGGTGAAACTCTGCCTTTACTAAAAATACAAAAATTAGCTGGGCTTGGTGGCACATGCCTGTAATCCCAGCTACTCAGGAGGCTGAGGCTGGAGAATCACTTGAACCTGGGAGGCAGAGGTTGCAGTGAGCCGAGATCGGGCCCCTGCACCCTAGCCTGGGCAACAGAGCGAGACTCCATTTCAAAAAAGAAAAAAAAAAAAAGCCAGGTATGGTGGCTCACGCCTGTAATCCCAGCACTTTGGGAGGCTGAGGCAGGTGGATAACCTGAGGTCAGGAGTGTGAACCAGGTCAGGAGCTTGAGACCATCCTGGCCAACATGGTGAAACCACATCTCTATTAAAAATACAAAAAATTAACAGGGCGTGGTGGCAGGTACCTGAAATTCCAGCTACTTGAGAAGCTGATGCAGGAGAATTGCTTAAATCCAGGAGGCGGAGGTTGCAGTGAGCCAAGATTGTGCCATTGCACTTCAGCCTAGGCGACAGAGCAAGACTCAAAAAAAAAAAAGACCATCCTGGCTAACACGGTGAAACCCCGTCTCTACTAAAAATACAAAAAATTAGCCGGGCGTGGGGGCGCATGCCTGTAATCCCAGCTACTCGGGATGCTGAGGCAGGAGAATCCCTTGAACCTGGGAGGTGGATGTTGCAGTGAGCCAAGATCACACCACTGCACTCTAGCCTGGGCAACAGAGGGAGACTCCGTCTCAAAAAAAAAAAAAAAAAAAAAAAAAAAGAGACTTATGGTTCTGAAGGAATGGTGGGAGGGGGTCAAGAAGACGAAGTGTGAGGCAAGAGCAGATTAAAATCCACTCTGGGGGCCGGGCACAGTGGCTCACACCTGTAATCCCAGCACTTTGGGAGGCCGGGGTGGGCGGATCACCTGAGGTCAAGAGTTCGAGACCAGCCTAGTCAACATGGTGAAACCCTGTCTCTACTAAAAATACAAAAATTAGCCAGGCGTGGTGGTGCATGCCTGTAATCCCAGCTACTCAGGAGGCTGAGGCGGGACAATCACTTGAGCCCAGGGGGCGGAGGTTGCAGTGAGCCGAGATCACGCCAGTGCACTCCAGCCTGGGTGACAAAAAAAAAAAAAAAAAAAAAAAATCCACTCTGGGGAAGATAGTGTTTATAAAGTATCACTTTACCCTGCTGATTCCGGCAAGGCCTGAATAACATGGGTGCCCTTCCCTGTATTAAGTGCAATGTGTCAACCACTGCCAGGTAAGTTCCTGTCACAATCAGGAAGAGCTGATGGCATGAAAGCACTGAGTAGGAGTTTAAATGTTCTTGAGAGGCCAGGGAAGGGCACGGCAAGATGCTAGGGTTTTGTCACTGTCATGAGGCTTGGCTGGGGTTAATGTAGACACCTGACACAGTCATTGTATACAGCAGGTTACATGTTATCATTACATTTCAGGATCCAAGGAAGTGGAGAGTCCTGTAACAGGGACTCCATCTAAGTTCTTTTTGTTAACTGACACAAAAGATTCAGGGGCAGGCTCTCAAGATCATCTTCCTGTGAATTCCCAGCATATCTGGTGAGCTCCTCTACCTTGTCACTTTCTATTCTGTGAGTAGTGTTGATTTCAGCTTGCTGCAGCAGCACAGGAAGATGGGTCCGCATCACAGGCTCCTGGCTAATGCTGCTGATGGCGAAATGCTGGAGAAACCTAAAAACACAAAGACAATGCTATTATGTTACCATCCTAGCCTGTCCTGAAGGTGCCTACTCACATGAAAAAGTTTTTACTTAATTGCTGAAAAATAAACCTTGGAGAGATTCTCTCTAGAGAATAAAATTGTGTACAGTGTGTTACTGCGACATTTTACAGTGATCTCTAAGAAACTACAAGAAAAAGGAGCTTAAAAGGACCAACACTGAGGTTTCCGACATTTCAAAAGCCAGAATATTAAACATCTATAAACAGAACCAGAGCTTACCAGTCCAGCTCTGGGAGTTTGGCTGAGAGTAACTTTAGGGAACTCCGTTTCTCCCCAGCAGGCTGGCTCAGGGCACTGAAGAGCTTCTGTGCACTGGAGTGCCTGGAATAACAAAAGCTCACAGATTAGAAGTCCATCTTCCTTCAGCATATACACTTTACACAACTGGGCCTGATGCTTTCAAGCCAGAGTCCAATGACAGAGTCAACTCTTCCAAAACACACATCTCAGACTTAAACAAAATGAGGTGTTAGTGCATGATGATGGGTAAGTCCACATAGAAAGGTTGGCCTGAAATCCCTTGATAATACCATGAGTTTCTGATTCTCGGTGATTTCACCTCTCCTTTTTTTTTTGAGATGGAGTCTTGCTCTGTTGCCCAGGCTGGAGTGCAGTGGTGCGATCTCGGCTCACTGCAAGCTCCGCCTCCCGGGTTCACGCCATTCTCCTGCCTCAGCCTCCCAAGTAGCTGGGACTACAGGTGCCTGCCACCACGCCCAACTAATTTTGTGTTTGTATTTTTAGTAGAGACGGGGTTTCACTGTGTTAGCCAGGATGGTCCCGATCTCCTGACCTCATGATCCGCCCACCTCGGCCTCCCAAAGTGCTGGGATTACAGGCATGAGCCACCGCACCCAGCTCCCACTTTTTTTTTCTTTTTTTGAGACAGAGTCTGGCTCTGTCACCCAGGCTGGAATGCAGTGGCACGATCTCGGCTCATTGCAACCTCTGCCTCCCAGGTTCCAGAGATTCTCCAGCCTCAGCCTCCAGCCTCCCCAGTAGCTGGGATTACAGGCGCATATCACCATGCCCGGATAGTTTTTGTATTTTTAGAAGAGATGAGGTTTCACCTTGTTGGCCAGGCTGGTCTTGAACTCCTGACCTCAGGTGATCCACCACCTCGGCCTCCCAAAGTGCTGGGATTACAGGCGTGAACCACTGCGCCTGACCTTTTTTTTTTTTTTTAAAGAAGCCCAAACACATTTTCTTGCTGTATTTATGTTGAATTCCCCATCTACAATGAGCAGTCACGAAGATGGTCTTCTTCAGGGCAACATGGTCACAGGACTGGGGCAATCCAGGGGACTGAGAGGGAGCGTGAGGATGGGAGGTGGGGCTACCTCCTGCTGTTTCACATTAGAGACAAACTGTAACACAGTCCATGGGCCTGCAACCGTCCCCTTTTATTATCTGGCATAACGCGTGATGTAGTTGTCCACTTTATTCTGGAAGTCCTCCTTGTCCTGCAAATGATGTTCTGCAGCTTCAATATTCAGTGGATCATCAAAATTCAAAAATCAGTAAACAAAGAGTTTAATCCCCAAACGACATCCTTTAATGTTCTCATGGGAGCCCAGCCAGTGCCGTCAATTGAATGTTCTCTCAGTAAACTCAGACATATTTCCCCTGTCTCTGTGATGTTGGGGTGCCAGATCTTGGTCAGGCATTTCACTTTGGGAGGCACCATGTTGTACACATCGGGAACTTCGGTTTCAAGCTGAAATTTTCCACCCTGGTAGTAACCCTCATCTGGAGTTACTGTTAGCTGAGAACAGTGAAGCTTGTTTGGATCAGGAAAATGCACTTTACATGTACAAGGTAAATTAGCTTCAAGTTCTGCAACCTCTGTAGTCCCACCTGCTAAGCGGGAGGATAACCTGAGCCTAGGAGGTCAAGGCTGCAGTGAGCCAGGACCGCACCACTGCACTCTACCCGGGGTGACAGAGTAAGACACTGGGCGCCCCCCAAGACAGGTGAGACGGGCCCGGCGCCCAACACCATGCTTGGCCCGGGTCAGGGCTGTGAGACGTGGCCCCTCACAGCCACACTGGCTCCTGGCAGTGGGGACATTTTTCGTTTTTTTTTTTGAGAAAGGGTCTTGTTTCATCACTCAGGCTGAAGTGCAATGGCATGGTCACGGCTCACTGCAACCTTGAATTCCTGGGCTCAAGTAACCCTTCCACCCCGGCCTCCTGACTAGCTGAGACTACAGGCATGTGCCACCATACCCAGCTAATTTTTTATTTTTTGTAGGGACGGGGTCTCACTATGTTGCCCAGGCAGGCTAGTCTCTAATTCTTGTGCTCAATTCATCCTCCTGCCTCAGCCTCCCAAAGTGTTGGGATTACAAGTGTGAGGCACTGCACATGGCCCTCTCTTGCCTTCTATTCCCCCAAGGGCACCGGCTACCTGCAAGTTGGCAGCATTGAAATGTCTGTGTTGACCCTTTCAGAAGCCAAGACCCCTGTGTTACATAATGCGAGGCATCCTGCAGAGAGAGCACACCCACAAAGCCTAGGGAAGCAAGCACAAATACTGAAGCAGCCACTTACAATCTCTTTTGTTCCACAGATAATCCATCTTCCTGGATCACTTTTAAAGAGATCCCTGAGTTATCCTGCTGTTTCCAGAGGGAGAAGACCTAAACAAAACAGAATTTGAGCAAAGAACACTTTAAACCCAACAACAGGATATGGAAGCCACATGGGGATTTGATGGTTGTTGAAAATCTAGACTGTCACTGCAGAGAAAATGACTATAACAAACAAGTTTGCTTCAAAAATAGAGGCCTGAAGCAATTTTGTTCTGTATTTTTAAAAACCAGAATGTCTTTCTGGGTTACTCCCCCAGGGATTCTGCTCCTTGAGAGGTCAGGAAGTAAGGAGAAAGGGGTCGGGTAACACTGTCCTAGCAGCAGACGCATGTTCTCCTCTAGGGAGACAGAAAGGAGTGGTTCAAGCAACTCCTGCCAAGAAGCAGAGGGATGGCTGAAGAGAACCTAAAGAGCCGTCTTTATTTTCCCAGATTGAAAGGACAAGCACAAGGAGGTAAAAAGGTCCAGCAAAGGTGGAAGACACAGACTGGGCTGAGAAGCTATACTATAGCCAAGGTCAACTCTTGCATCCTCTATGGTCTGCGAATCTGACCTGAGGGAGGAACACTGTCCCCTCACAAGCTGCTGTAATCACACCTTTCCAAGAATTCCCACTAGTCATGAGGCTGGCCATCAGTTTGGCTTTGGCTATTGCTTGGTCTCTAAGTGGGTCGTTTCATTCTCGTAAACTCCCTCATCTATGCCATCTGTGCTGAGTATCTATAAAGTGCAGCCTGCCAGGTGGTACCATTCGCAAGGGCAGGGACTGGCCCATGGGGAAGGAGACTATAGGGTGGCAAAGAGAACACTAATTCAGTAGGTAGGGCCCAACAATTCAATAAAGTAGCTAAATAAGAGATAACTCTAATTAGGATTTAAAGGACAAAGCAGATTTTTCTTAAAGGCTAAAAACCCTCTTGTTCAGTTTCTTCCAGCTCTCACCTCTCATTGCCAACAGCACCACTCCAGAACTTGAAGGGATTAGAAGCAGTCACCCCACACCATCCAGCCCTCCTAACTCTCCCTCTCATCACTTCACTGTTAGCCCCAAAATGATGCCTTACCATTTAAATTGCTAGGGGGAAAAAAAAGTAGTAGTAGTTTTGCTGAATAATGACTGATATTACCTCTGAGTAAAATGCTTGGTATATCTTCGATTTGGGGAAAAGGGCAATCATCAGAAAATTGCTTGATCCATGGAAATGAACTGGGAGGTGAGGAAGCAATGAGCTTTTGAAGTCTATGAGAAGAGCAGCAACAGTACTGGTGGAATCCTAAAGCGAAAAGGAGGGAGCATCAGCAAGAAGAGCATCTGCACAATTACAGCACTCACAACTACTGCCAGAACACACAGGATCAATTTCAGTACAATTATTGTCACATTACGTAGTTCACTGTGGTTCAGTATAGATGTGCTTTACTTATAGGAGATATAGGAAATAAAAGGATTTTTTTTTTGAGACAGGGTCTTGCTCTGTCACCCAGGCTAGAGTGTGATGGCTCACTGCAGCCATCAAGTGATCCTTCTACCTCAGCCCTTCAAGTAGCTGAGACTACAGACACATGCCACTATGCCTGGCTAATTTTTTTAAACTTTCTGTAGAGACAGGGGCTCTCTCTGTTGCCCAGGCTGGTCTCAAACTCCTGGTCTCAAGTGATCCTCCCACCTTGGCCTCCCCAAGTGTTGGGATTACAGGGGTGAGCCACCACCCCTAATCTGGATTTTTTTCCCCTATACTGAAAATGTCATCTCAAAATTCACTCTAGGATATTAATTCCTTATCAGATATATGATTTGTGAATATTCCATTCTGAGGACTGTCTTTTCACTCTCTGGATAATGTCCTTTAACACACAGAAGTTTTAAATGTTGATGGAGTCCAATTTACATATTTTTTCATTTGCTGTCCGTGCTTTTGGTATCACATTCAAGAAATCATTGCCAAATCCAGTATCATAAAGATTTTCTCCTGTATTTTCTTCAAAGAGTTTTATTGTTTTAGCTCTTTTTTTTTTTTTTTTTTTGAGATGGAGTCTCACTCTGTCGTCCAGGCTGGAGTGCAAAAGCATGATCTCCGCTCGCTGCAACCCCCGCCTCCTGGGTTCAAGCGATTCTCCTGCTTCAGCCTCCCGAGTAGCTGGGACTACAGGTCCGTGCCACCATGCCCGGCTAATGCTTATATTTTCAGTAGAGACGGGGTTTCACTATGTTGGCCAGGCTGGTCTCGAACTCCCGACCTCATAATCCGCCCGCCTTGGCCTCCCAAAGTGCTGGGATTGCATATTGTTTTAGCTCTTAATGTTTATGTTTTTGATCCACTTTCAGTTAATTTATTGTACAGGGTATAAAGTAAGGGTCAAACTTCATTCTTTTGCACACGGATATCTAGTTTTCCCAGCACCTTTTTTGTTTGTTGTTTTTGAGACAGGGTCCCACTCAGGGGACCTGTGCCCAGGATGGAGTGCAGTGGTGCCATCTTGGCTGACTGGCCTCCGCCTCCTGGGTTCAAGCAATTCTCATGCTTCAGCCTCCCGACTAGCTGGGATTACAGGCATCCACCCACCACACCCAGCTAATTTTTGTATTTTTAGTAGAGATGGGGTTTTGCCATGTTGGCCAGGCTGGTCTCGAACTGCCAGCCTCAAGTGATCTGCCCTCCTTGGCCTCCCAAAGTGCTGCGATTACAGGCGTGAGCCACCGCACCCGGCCTCTCAGCACCATTAGTTAAAAAGACTGTCCTTTTGACATTGAATGGTTCTGGCATCCTTGTCAAAAATGATTTGATACAAAAGTTTATTTCTGGGCTCTCCATGGGTCTAGTCCACTGGTCCATATGCCTGACCTTTTGCCAGCAGCAAACTGTTAGGTCACTGTAGCTTCATAGTGAGTTTTGAAATAAGAAAATGCATGTGTTACAACTTTATTTTCTTTTGCAAGATTGTTTTAAACAATAAGGGTCCCTTGAGAGTCTATAAATTCTACATGAACTTTAGGATGGGTTTTCCTATTTCTTTTTTGAGACACAGTTTTCACTCTCTCACCCAGGCTGGAATGCAGTAGCACAATCTCGGCTCACTGCAACCTCTGCCTCCCAGGTTAAAGTGATTCTTGTGCCTCAGCCTTCCGAGTAGCTGGGATTATAGATACATGCCACCACACTTGCCTAATTTTTGTATTATTAGTAGAAACAGGGTTTCACCATGCTGGCCAGGTTGGTCTCAAACTCCTGACCTCAAGTGATCTGCCCGCTTCAGCCTCTCAAAGTGCTGGAATTGTTAAGTGTGAGCCACTGCGCCCGGCAGCGTTTTCCTATCTGCAAAAAATGCCATTGGGATTTTGATACGGACTGCACTGAACCTACAGATCATGTTGGGCAGTATTGTCTTAATAGTAAGTCTTCTGAGTCACGAACATGGATGTTTTTCCTTCATTTAGGTTGTCTTTAATTTTTCTGCAATATTTTTCAGTTTTCAGTGTACAAGTCTCTCACTTTCTTGGTTAAATTTATTCCCTAGTACTTTACTCTTTTTGATGCTAATGTAAATTGAATTGTTTTATTTTTCTGAGACAGGGTCTCACTCTGTTGCTCAGGCTAGAGCACAGTGTGGCATGATCACAGCTCACTGCAACCTCTGTCTCCTGGGCTCAGGAGATCCTCCCACTTCACCTCTCAAGTAGCTTGGGACTATAGGCACCTGCCACCATGCCTCACTAATTTAAAAAATTTTTGAGGCTGGGTGCACTCCAGCCTGGGTGACAGAGCGAGACTCCATCTAAATAATAATAATAATAATAATAATAATAATAATAATAATAATAATAATAATTTTTTGTAGAGACGGAGTTTCACCATGTTATCTCAAAGTCCTGGACTCAAGTGATCCACCTGCCTTGGCCTCCCAAAGTGCTGGCATTCCAGGCTTGAGCCACTGCATCCAGCCCTGGAATTGTTTTCTTAATATCTTTATCAGATTGTTCATTGGTAGGGCATAGAAATGCAACTCATTTTGAAAAAAAATTATAAAAATACAACAGAGAAGAAAGTTTTAAAAAAATTAATAGAAAGTCCCATCACCTAAACCCAACTACAGCTAACATTTAGTACTTTTGTTTTCCTTTTTTTTTTTTCAGAGACAGGGTCTTGCTCTGTCTCCCAGGCTGGAGTGCAGTGGTACAATCACAGCTCATTGCAACCTTGAACTTCTGGGCTCAAGTGATCCTCCCACCTAAGCCTCCCAAATAGTTGCGACTTCAGGTATACACCATCATGCTTGGCTTTTTTTTTTTTTTTTTTCTTTTTTTGAGATGGAGTTTCACCCTTGGTACCTAGGCTGGAGTGCAATGGCGCAATCTCAGCTCACTGAAACCTCCGCCTCCCAGGTTCAAGCGATTTTCCTGCCTCAGTCTCCTGAGTACCTGGGACTACAGGTGCACAGCACCATGCCCAGCTAATTTCTGTATTTTTAGTAGAGACGGCATTTCACCATGCTGGCCAGGCTGGTCTCGAACTCCTGACCTCAGGTGATCCGCCCTTCTTGGCCTCCCAAAGTGCTAGGATTACAGGCGTGAGCCACCACGCCCAGCCCCTTATCCTGTTTTTAAAACTTAATTTATCATCACCATCAGCCATGTTATCATACACTATCAGTAAACATTTCCAGTGACTGCACTCTCTTCCCCTCTTGGGCCACTTACACAGCTTGACATGAGCTATTCCAGTTCTCCTCTGCCAACAGTTCCTCAGGATTTATTCCTTAGTATAAATTAGTATGCTTTAATACTATATTAGTGTAATTTAACAATAAATGCTAAGTTACTGTTACATATGATAGCAGGAGGTTGTTAATGATGTAACTTCTTCTATCTGTTAAGTAGCCTCATGTCCTCTGAACATCCCTGAACTGGGACTCAGTGTTTTCATGTTAATAAAGATACAACTCTTCGCAGAAAAAAAATATTAACTCATTTGTCTAAATCACCAAAAATGTTTTTCCCAATTTTAAAAATTTGCCTTTTGAAATACTTTTAAAAAATTATATATATATATGTATATATATTTTGAGACATTCTCACTCTGCAGCCCAGGGTGGAGTGCAGTGGTGGGATCTTGGCTCACTGCAACCTCCACCTCCTGGGTTAATGCAATTCTCCTGCCTCAGTCTCCCAAGTAGCTGGGATTACAGGCATGCACCACCACGCCCAGTTAATTTTTGTATAGTAGAGGTGGGGTTTCACCATATTGGCCAGGCTGGTCTTGAACTCCTGACCTCAGGTGATCCACCTGCTCCAGTCTCCCAAGGTGCTGGGATTACAGGCATGAGCCACTGTGCCTAGCCATAAAAAAATTTTTTTATTTTTAATTAATACATAATATGCACATATTTATGGGGTATAATATATTGTTTCAATACATGTATACATTATGTAATGATTACATCAGGGTAATGAATGAGAAATCCATCAACTCAAACATTTATCATTCAGAATCTTCTCTTCTAGCTATTGTGAGATCTGAACACCTTATTGTTGACTGCAGGCACCCTACTGTGCAACAGAACACTAGAATTTACTCATCCTTTCTAACTTTGTATTCATCGATCTACCCCTCCCCATCCCCTAAAATACTTTTTAAAGGGTTTTTGCATTACTAATTAGTCTGACAAATTTTATGATATACCCATACAATGGAATACTACTTAGCAATAAAGAGAACACAGCTATTTACATACACAACATGGATGAATCTAAAAATCACTATGTTGAGTGGAAAATGTCAGACTCAAAGGTTACAGAATAGATGATGTTCATTTATATAACATTCTAGAAAATGCAAACTAATATATAGGGACAAAAGCTAATCAGTGGTTGTCTGAACCCAGGAGTGGAGGGAAAGATGAAAAAGGGCATGAGAAAACATTTTGGTTTGATAGTAAAGGTGGTTTCATGAATGTACACATCTGCCAAACCTTTAAATGGATACAGTTAGTTGTATTTACAGTATACTTTAATAAGTTAAATTATCAGCATAAAATTTTTAAAAATCAGTAACTGGTCAGCTGGGTGTGGTGGCTCATGCCTGTAATCCCAGCACTTTGGGAGGCCGAGGTGAGTGGATCACGAGGTCAGGAGATCGAGACTGTCCTGGCTAACATAGTGAAACCCCGTCTCTACTAAAAATACAAAAACAAAATTAGCCGGGCGTGGTGGCAGGCGCCTGTAGTCTCAGCTACTCAGGAGGCTGACGCGGGAGAATGGCGTGAACCAGGGAGGCAGAGCTTGCAGTGAGTCGAGATCGCACCACTGCACTCCAGCCTGGGCAACAGAGCGAGACTCTGTCTCAAAAAAAAAAAAAAAATCAGTAACTGGTCAAATTTGACAAACTTTTCCTTTAGAATTTCTTGTATTGTTTCTAAGCTTCAGAAGTCTTCTAACCCCTAGAGGTTTAATAAATATTCATTTTTATATTCTATTTGTGAAATTTAAATATATTTAATTTTAATCCCTCAGAAGTTCATTTTGATTTTTAGTAGAGGTAAGAGTCTATTTTTTGTCGAAATTAGCTACTTATCATCCCAGTACTGTGCTTTTCATGATGCATTCTTTCTTCCCTGATATTGGAAGACTCTTTAATCTAACAGCAACACTTTAATCTAATAGGGCCATCCAATGTGTCCAATTGGTCTGCCTACATTTCTGAACAGCCTTTAAGGCTGCAGGCTCTATATGGAAGAAAAACTTGCTCACAGAATTCGTTTTCTGAGCCATCTGACCAAAATACCTCACATAGTCTCTGTCCTAGCTCCCAGACAGACTGGTTTTGAGGCTGAGACCAGGCAGAGTGGTGGGCCTGCCCTCTGCTCTGGTGTTGCACTGAGACGAGCTGTGCCTTGGCCACAGGGTAAAGGCTAGGGGAAACCCATAGCTACCATCTTCCCCTTAAGGTGAATGGGAAGTGTTGGTGCAGACTGGTGAACTTAGAGGATTGTTATAGGACAGTGGAACTTTTATGGAGCTGGAGAGGAAGTCTGGGTGTGTGAGGGAGGAGGGGCTAAACTCTCACGGGGAAAGTGAGCCATTTCTCTCCCTCTCTGGCTCACTTACAATCCTGTCCATGCTAATGTGTATGCTGAGCCTCATCAATACCACAGGATGCAGCTCCTTTCTGATTTTTCAGTGGGTGAGCCTTGAGCCCCTGGACCTGGAGGCCACCCAAGAGGGGCCACTGGAGGCCTTCTCAGCCTGCTTTATAGTCCTCTTTAGGGTGAATGAATTGGGCATGGGGAGCTGCTGGCCCTTCTGACCAGAAGCCCTTTCTAGGTAAGCCCTTTACAGAGCAGTGAGGTTGATGAGGCTCGTAAGCGTCTTGAGAATGCCCAGGCCTCTCCACGACCTCCCTCCCTGCCTGCCTCAGTGGCTGTGCTGGTTCCTGACATACTGCCCTGTGGTAGTGGAGGGGAGAAAGGAGTTATTTAGTTTTCCCCTCAAAAGTGTGAGCAACTTTCCGACCAAAAAAGCCACTGACTAGTAAAACACCTACCCCATCATAGAAGGAAATGGAATTCATGTGATCCTTGGAAATGATGATACTTCTATGACGACAGTGAGAAAACAGAAGGCCACTAGAGAAGAAATGAACATTCCCTGGAAGGAAAAGAGAGTTGGTCAGAGCTGGAGGGCTGGGTGCTGGGGGTCAGATTCCAATGTCCTCTTGTACAGCAGTGTGGTAACTAGAGGCCAGTATCAGTAGCAATTACGTTATGCGATTTGTATGCTGAGCCCTGTGCTCTGAGGAAGCCAAAGTAACCTCCCAAAGCCTCAGAGGGAAATGAGGCATCAGATGCAGTCTTTGCATAAGAATTAGAAAAACAAGTGAATAAACTATCAGCTAATGGGGAGAAGCAAAATTCACATTACCTTATGGGTATCTTCCACGGAAACACACTAAAAAAGACTTTGGGTATATCTGCTCCATTACTGAGTTTACAGATTTTCCTTTCTTCTGCTTTGCCAGAAGCTGGCTCGGCCCTAAAGAGACCACATCCCTCACTTAGGGCCCGAGAAGGAGCACTTGGGTCTCAGCTGAAGACTGGTGAAGGGAGCTTAAGGTCCCTGTGCCCAGCAACAGAACATTTGAGTTAGGTAATGAGTAAGTTCTACAGACACTGGGGGGCTGCTCTTCTGTAGTTCACAAAAGCAAGATGGGTGACAGGTGGACATGGATGTGGGTTCCTCGGAACAAGGATTCAGGTCTAAGGAGAGCTGTTGTTTCCTGGATGGTCAAGGTCATATGGAGCAGCTCAGTATAGGCCCTAGGGAGCAGACCATGGAAAAGATGGACAACTAAGATGACAAAGATTAATGCTGGGCCTGGGCTTGCTTTGGAGACACAAAAGCAGCACCCAAAGCACCCATAAGACTCCTAGGTGAAGCTGCTCTCTGGGGCTGGTCCAAGCTGAATCTTCTATTCCTGTAACAGCTTTTCTTTCCATGTTTCCGCATATAGAGGGAGATGAAGTAGTTCTTAAAGCTCAAGGCACAGGTTTGAGTTTATTGTCATTAAGACCTCACTGCCAAGGCAAAGGCCAAGAGATAAATAAGTGAAATTGATTCCTTAAGTTGTAGCTCCAGAAAAGCAGTGCAAAGCTCTGGAGGCTGGAATGACAAGAATAGCAAAGGCCAGGAGTCTGAGGGCTGCCTTCACATCCTGGGTGAGGAATCTGGAGACTGCAAGCTTTGAGGGCTTCCTGAGGAGGTGAGGTTTCAGAAGGAAGGGAGGGGCCTAGTTAGTATGTGTTCACAGGGGACAGGAGAAGTGAAGGGAGAAGGAGGCAGTTTTTAGGTACAAGAAGAAGAACTGGCACCTGCCTCTCATGGAAGAACCAGATGCCCCGTCAGAGGGACATGCCAACCTTACCATCTGTGGCAGCCACAGCCAGCGACTATCTAGGTTCAAGCTCTGGAAACCTCTACCCTCCAACAAGTAGCCTGGCTTTCTGTGCACACTGCCTTTTCCTGAGGCCCTCTGAAAAGGAGGCTAATCATGCCCCAGCCTCATCCTGTACCAACCCTAAAGTTCCTCCATGCTGCTCCCAGGCCAGTCTCCCCAACACCACAGCATGTTACTTTCATTCCCCTAGAGACACAAGCCCCTCCCTCTACTGCTCACACCTACTGCCCTCCTGACCATGCCATATTTCAAATCACTCTGAATGTGCTCAGTCTTCCCTTCCAATGCCAACACTCCCATTCCTTCTTAGAGCAGTAAAGCTGCACCCAGAATGTCATGACTTCTGAAATCTCCAGCCCAGCAACTACTCTCTGACTCCAGCACCCCATCCCCCTTTTAGCTGTTTCCCTCCCCACACCCCATCCTCTGATGTCACTGAGCCTTCACAGTCATTGGTATTCGCATTTTCCCCTATTGCTCAGAAATTTCTGATATTCTTCTCATCCACATCAAGGGCAGATCCTCTGGGACAGGACTTAACCTTTAATCTTTGTTCTGTTAAAAGAAAGGAATGGGAACAGGTTTCACGCAGTATTTACTAAGCACCACACATGTCATACATTATAGTTTTCTGTTTTCACAATTGTAACAGGTGGTATTATTTTTTCTCATAGGACAGATGAGAAAACTCAAGCTTAGAGAGATTTCCCCCAAAATCACAGCATTACTTGGTGGTGGAGCCAGGTACAGAACACAGGTTTGTCTGATGCCAAAGACACTATACCATGCTGGTGCCTTCAGTTCTCTCATGTTTTTTTTCTTTCAATTCTCCCCTGTCCAAAGCCCAGCTGTGGTGAATCTGTAGATGTGCCTTCTCTGCTCCCTCAACCACAACAGGCCACAGTGCTGCCCCGTAGCCTGTTCACTGCTGTCTCCCCACTCCTTCCATCAGCCCACAGAGCTCATCCCAGACCTTCAACACTCTCCTAAAACCACAACCCCACCAACTCCTGCCACAAGATGACTCTACTTACTGTTTCCAGAGATAAGAGGGCTCCATAGGTGTCACGAGGTAGAAACTGCTCCTGCTGCTGAGTGGTTAGTACCTGCACCCTTCCCTGTCCTGGGTATCCCTCTACATTTGTACTTTTGAAGTGAACCTTTTTAGAAACAAGTCCAGTGCCACTTGAAAGGCCTCCTGGACAAAGCTCAAAATCCTGAAGCTTCCAGAAAAAAGCACAGATTGGAGAAGCTGGCACATTCCATTTACTCAATAGGAAGATGGGAAAGGATGAGCGAGGTCATCTCCAGCATTTCCTCTCCCACTAGACTCTGAAGCCTCAAAACAAAATGGAAAAGAGGAAGACAAATTCACAAGACAGTGCTGGAAGAGCTCATTATGGGGCATGAGCCAAGGCAAGGTCTCAGTAAACAGGATCTGATTTCAGTACTGTCCTGTGATCTGTCCTGTGATCGCAGCTGCCCCTTAGCCTGGCTCTATGAGCAGTAACTCTGCCATTATTCTCAGAGCACACATGAGATAAGTGAAGTGACTTACTGGGTGGCCCAGTGCCTGTGCTCTGGTCTCAGATCCTCATCTGCTTGAAGCAATAACCCTTCTGGTATCTGCTCTGGACTCTTGACTGTCAGACAGTGGTCTGAGGGCCATACCTTTGCAGGGGTTCACAGGGGCCAGGGCAGCCAACTCCTGAGGAGATCTCCCTGACTCTTTGTGCCATCCTTGGTGTCCTTAGTGGATGAACTCTGTCCTTCCTTCTCCATTCTGTAAGTCTGAAAACCCAGGATAAGAGGAAGTTTCCCATTATTGTCCCAAAACCAGGAGGACTGCAGTTTGGTTGTCTTTGATTGAGCTCTGTATCCCTGGAAGTCCAACAAAAGAGGGATGGGCCCTCAGGGTAAACCAAAATACCAAGCAAATGCCAAAGAAGAATTTCGCTTTCCTCTTTCAGAAAACTGGCTGTACAAATAAAAATCTTCCAACAGCCCAGTCTATGTGAGGAGGGAACATTTATCACTGCTGGGGAAATTTATGATGCAATGGCTAGATGATTTTCATCCTGTGTCTATAAATGTGTGTGAAATGTACACACAAGGTTTAAAAAAAAAAAAAAAAAAAAACTAAAGCAACAACTACAAAACCCAGATGTCTATGAACTCACCACTGGGCCTAAGAAATTGAGCATTACTAGCACCGTTGAAACCCCCTGGATGTCCTTCCTCAATGAGAGCCCTTCTCTTCCACCCAGGGGGAACAGCATCCTGAATTCTGGATGGTTTTACCACACTTGAATGTATTTGTAAACTGTGTATTACTTAGTTTTGTCTGTGTTTTTATATAAATGAAATCCTAATCATGTATTCTTCTGTGACTTGCTTACTTCTCCTGACATTCTGTTCCTGAATGTGACCTATGTTACAAGTAATATGCAGCTATACAGTTCCTTCATGCTCAGTGCTGTACAAAACTTTACTTTTTTTTTTTTTTTTTTTGAGATGGAGTCTCACTCTGTTGCCTTGGCTGGAGTGCAGTGGTGCCATCTCTGCTCACTGCAATCTCCGCCTCCCAGGTTCAAGTGATTCTTGTGCCTCAGCCTCCCAAGTAGCTGGGATTACAGGCATGCGCCACCACGGTCCAGCTAATTTTTGTATTTTTAGTAGAGATGGGGTTTCACCACGCTGGCCAGGCTAGTCTCGAACTCCTGACCTCAGGTGACCTGCCCGCCTCGGCCTTCCAAAGTGCTGGGATTACAGGTGTGAGCCACCGTGCCAGACCAAAACCTTCATTTTTAAAGTGTCCCTCCAGCCAGGTGCGGTGGCTCCCTCCAGCCAGGTACAGTGGCTCACGCCTGTAATCCCAGCACTTTGGGAGACTGAGGTGGGAGCTTCACGTGAGGCCTGGAGTTTGAGACCAGCCTAGCCAACATGGTGAAACTCCATCTCTACTAAAAAAAAAAAAAAATTAGCCAGGTGTGGTGCCACATGCCCACATGACTCCTCCTCCATGCATACATGGTAGGGGCTAAGCTCTCTGGTAGCTCTTATAAGGGCACCACATCCCAACAGACCTTGTCCCACATTCATGACCTCATCTAACCCCTATTTCCTTCCAAAAGCCCCATCTCCAGATAACATCACTTTTGGGGTTAAGGCTTCAACACTGGAATTTTGGAGAGGACACAAACATTCAGTCTCTAATGTGATAAGGCAAGTTCCCACCTTGTTTTTCTTCTTCAGGAGTATCTTGGCTGTTCTTAGCACTTTGCTCAAAGTTATTGACATTTTTATGTTGGCTTTTCAGGATTTTCAAAAAACTTGTTGGTTTTTTTTTTCCTGAAATTATGTTAAATTTAAAGATCACTTTGGAGAGAATTGTCATTTTTACCATGTCAAGTAAGTAAACCTGAGTTTTCCAGTCCATGAATGGGATGTGTGTTTATGTCATTTTTAATGCCTTTTAGTATAGTGTTATAATTTTCTCAGCCTCCAGACTGTGAGAAATAAATTCCTACTGTTAATCCACTCACTCTGTGGTATTTTGTTATGGCATCCCAAGCAGACTAAGTCACCATATAGAAATATGTTATCTATCTAAAATAAGACAATGTGTTATTTTCTTTCCCAATGGAACAGAACAGAGAGCCTATTAATAGATGCACACATAAAGAGACTTGATTTATAACAAAGCTGGCACTGCCGATCAGTGGGAAAACAATGATTTTTCAATAACTTTGCTGAGACAGGTGGCTACCTACATTTAAAAAATGAACTTAGACTTCTATCTCATATCACTTTCACAGAGCAATCCAGGTGGATTCTTTGAAAAATTATATTTTTATAATTCAACAGAAAAGTCTCAATAGATCTAAAATATATGAATCACATAGGAAATGATTAATTATCCTGATTACATTAAAACTAAGAACTTTTATTCATGAAAAAGCATCAGAAATAAAATAAAAAGACAAGCCACCAGGTGAAAGAAAATATTTGCAATATACTGAATTGACAAAGAATTAGTATCCAAAATCTATAAAGAATTCCTGGCTGGGCGCAGTGGCTCACGTGTAATCCCAGAACTTTGGGAGGCTGTGGCAGGCAGATCACCTGAAGTCGGGAGATTGAGACCAGCCTGACCGACATAGAGAAACCCTACCTCTACTAAAAACACAAAATTAGCCGGGCATGGTGGTGCATGTCTGTAATCCCAGCTACTCGGGAGGCTGAGGCAGGGGAATCGCTTAAACCTGGGAGGCAGAGGTTGCAGTGAGCCAAGATCGTGCCATTGCACTCTAGCCCAGGCAACAAGAGTGAAACTCCATCAAGAAAGAAAAGAAAGATGAACAAACGAACTAATGATCGAGAGAAAGAGAGAGAAACAGAGAGAGAGAGAGAGAAAGAAAGAGAAAGAAAGGAAAGAAAGAAAAGAAAAAAGAAAAGGAAAGAAAGAAAGGAAAGAGAAAGAAAAAGAAAGAAAGAAAGAAAGAAAGAAAGAAAGAAAGAAAGAAAGAAAGAAAGAAAGAATTCCTAAAATAGGCCAGGCGCAGTGGGTCACGCCTGTAATCCCAGCACTTTGAGAGGCCGAGGTGGGCAGATGACCTGAGGTCAGGAGTTCAAGACCAGCTTGGCCAACATGGCGAAACCCCGTCTCTATTAAAAATACAAAAATTAGCTGGGCCTGATGGTGCACGCCTGTAGTCCCAGCTACTCGGGAGGCTGAGGCATGAGAATTGCTTGAACCTGGGAGGTAGAGGCTGCAGTGAGCTGAGATTGCGCCACTGCACTCCAGCCTGGACAACAGAGTGAGACTTAGTCTCAAGAAAAAAAAAAAAATTCCTAAAATAAACAAGAAAAAGGCAATCTAAAAGAAACATGAGCAAAAAACAAGAACAAGCATTTAACAGAAGGGAAGTATAATAGCTTGGCCAATAAATAAAGACGGTTCACTAATAATAAGAGAAATGTAAATTAAAATCCTAATAATAACAGCACTGCACACTCACCACAGTGGCAAAACTGGCAAAACAGCAAGTGTTGGCCAGAATATGGAAAAACTCAAATACCTGTATGCTGCTGCTGGAAGTATAATTTGGGACAATCAATTTGTAAAACAGTCTGGCCTCATCAAAAAAAGCCATATGTGGGCTCATACTAAAATTCCAAATTTTTACTCTTCATTCCAACCCTACAGAAACATTTGCCCATGTGGACCAAGAGACATGCACAAGAATGCTCATAACAGTACAGTCTGCAATACCAAAAAAAGCCTATATTTACTTATTTATTTTTTAGAGTTAGGGTCTTGCTCTGTCAACCAGGCTGGAGTACAGTGGTGAGATCATAGCTTACTGCAGCCTTGAACTCCTGGGCTCAAGCCACCCTCCAGTCTCAGCCTTCCAAGTAGATGGGACTACAGGAATATGCCACCATGCCTGGCTAATTTTTTTTTTTTGGGTAGAGATGGGGTCTCACTGGTCTTGAACTGTGGGCTCAAGCAATCCTCCTGCCTCAGCCTCCCAAAGTGCTGGGATTACAGATGCTGGCTAATTTAAAAAATTCTTTTGTAGAAACAAGAGTCTCACTCTGTTGCCCAGGCTGGTCTTGAACTCCTAGCTTCAAGTGATCCTCCCACTTCAGCCTCCTGAGAAGCTGGGATTACAGGCACAAGCCACTGCACCTAGCACAAAAACTATAACTCACATGTCCACAAAGAGTCAAAATGATACTGCATGTTCATACAAAGGAATACTATAGGGCCATGAAAATGAGTAAGCTATATGGCTTACATACAACAAACTGGATGAATCCTAGGAATACTGAGCAAAAAAAGCAGGTCTACATTATGATTCTATTTGTATTAAGTTCAAAATAAGATATTGTCTAGGTATATAGGCATGTGTGGTAAAACTCTAAAGCAGGTTCCTGAGGATTAGGTACTGGGCAGCCTGCCTGGCCACAGACAGCAGGGCGGGGAAGAGAAGGGCACATGAAGGACACGAATGAATGGGAAGTTGAAAAGCAAGACATCTTGTGATAGCAGACACCACTAACTGGTGAAGAGAAACAGTTCTAGAGCTGAAAAAAACTTCAAGGTAAAGGAAGCACTATTCTCTTTTTTCTTTTTTTTCTTTTTTTTTTTGAGACAGAGATCATTCTTGTTGCCCAGGCTGGAGTGCAATGGCACAATCTTGGCCCACCACAACCTCTGCCTCCCAGGTTCAAGCGATTCTCCTGCCTCAGCCTCCCGAGTAGCTGGGATTACAGGCATGCGTCACCACGCCTGGCTAATTTTGTAGTGTTAGTAGAGACGGGGTTTCTCCATGTTGGTCAGGCTGGTCTCGAACTCCCGACTTCAGGTGATTCGCCCGCCTTGGCCTCCCAAAGTTCTGGGATTACAGGCATGAGCCACCACACCCTGCCAGGAAGTACTATTCTTTTCATCTGTAAGTAATTGCTGGGTGAAAAATCAGAAGACCTGTACTATCCTCCAGACCTGGACTACCCTCTAGATGCTGCCATTAACTTGTACTACATCTCAGTCAGGGTGAGGGGGCTTTAAAAAAAAAAAAGTATGGAAAAAATAACAACTTGCACAACATCAGGCGAGTTTTCACCTTCTATGGGACTCAGGATATGAAGATCAATAAAGATAATGCATCCTGAGGAGCTGAAGATAAGTACCTTCAGGGGATGGGAACAGATAAATTTCAAACTCATCACAGTCCCAAGTAAAGGCAGATTTATAAAGACAAAGACACTAAAGACACTTGAACTTCAGGACCCCTTACCTGCCCAAGTCCCCTTCTAAGGCTCTAAGAAGAGCCCTAATCATTTTGTAGTATTTTCCTCAAGAGAGTCCACAAATGGTACAAACTTCAAGCCCCACAAAACCTACATCAGCTCCTGATCTGAATCCCAAAGTGGTAAAATGCTTATCCACAGGAAGGGGAGACTCCTGTTTAAATTCTCTGCTTCTATTCAATTTCCCTGCCTCAGAAAACCATCTCCTAATTCAAACTAGATTCCCCTCAGCAACAAAGAAAGTTTAAAATTTAAGTTATCAAAAGACTATGACTAATAAGCCTCCAGAAATCCCTGGCTGTGCCCTTTATCTTGCACAGAGACCTTAGGATACACTGAATCTTGCTGGATAACTCAATACAATGCAAGACTATTTTTCTAACAAGGCCCTCTGCTAAGAAGGTGCAAACTAATTTTGGCAAATATCCCGGCTAAATATTATAATTGGCTCAAGGATGACACAGCACAAACCACCTCTGTGTTGTGCCTACAATCTGCTTTCAAAACACTATGCAATCTTGCCTCAAGGCTGGTAGTATTACCACATACTCCCTGCCTTCAGCAAATGTTCTTAACTCCTGGGTTCTCTGCACCAGGATCTGGAGAGGCAGAAGTGCAGGGACAGATGTGTTAACAAATGCCATTACCACTCCAGCAGTATGTGGATAGAAAACCAGAACTCCTTGTGCTTTGTCTTCTGTGTGAATGAAGGGGCAGAAGCTGAACCAGTGATCTGAGAACAGGGAGAGGAATTTGCCACCGGATAGAATATTTTCAACAAGAAGAACAAATCATCCAGAAAGGGGATTTGCTTAGTAGAGGTTGAGGAATTTGTAGAGTAAGTCAGAACTCCTCCCTCACATAAAGGCTATATTCAACAGGGAAAGAACAGGAGTCATAAGAAAATGTTATTTTGAGGAAGCCAAAGAGGAACTTGCAGTAAATCCCTGTAAAATCCATGCAAGACCAACAAGGTTTTTGAGGATTTCATATGAGCAGAAACACTGCCAGTTTGGATTGAAAGGGACAGATAACATATAAAATTGAAGGAGACTGTTGGACCCTCAAAATTCTACTGGCAAGAGGCAGGCTGTTAAAACTGCTCAGCTACAAACAAAGTACTACCTTTCACTGAAAAAGGAAGGATGACAGCGGTGTAGCTATAAGCTCAGAGGGTGGAGCCATGAGCCCAGAGCAAACCAAGAGCAAACAGGGTAGAACCAAGAGCACCGAGGCAGAGCTGAGAGCCAGAATTATTCCCAGGCCTTGAAACCTTATCAAGGAACTGAAGTCTGCCCAGCTGAATTTCAAAGCTGCCATGGGCTGGTGACTCCTTTTTACCTTCTGTTTTTCCTCTTTGTGAACCTGAAGTCTATGCCAGTCCCACCTTGCATGTTGGGAGGGCTGCAGGCAGATGACTTGTCTCTTTAGTTTCGTAGGTCCACAGACATGGAGAGAACTATGTTCAGGAGCTGTAGACAGATTACACTCCCAAGCCTCATTTACATGGGACTTAGATGAGCTTGATCATGAGATTTTAGATATTTAAGCCCATGAGATTTAGGACTTTGAACTGTAGCCATAATGGGATGAGACCCTTGGGAGGAGGTAACAAGGGACATGAATTATGGGGGGCAGAGGGTGGGCTGGGATAGGCAAAAACTTGACATGCTGATAGCCGAAGAGGAATTAGAGAGACTCAAAGTGTGTGAGAGATTCAATACAAGAAGGTTCTTTATAGCTGAGATGGAGGGGGTCACAAGAGCAAGGACTTCTGGGAGGAGGAGCTGAGAGGATCCCTGTCTGACAGCCACCAACAAAATGGGGACCTCATTCCTACAAGCGAAAGGAAACAACATCCTTGCTGAGATTGGGAGAAGATTCTTCCCCAGAGGCTCTAGATAAGAGCCTAGCCTGGCTGATGCCTTGATTTTGACCTCAAGAGATCTGGGTCCAGCCAAGCCTGCCTGAACTTCTGACCTGGAGAACTGTGAGATAATAAGAGGGTGTTGTTTTAAGCTACTAAATTTGTGGTCATTTGTTACACAGCAAGAGAAATGAATCCAGCTTCTGTTTAGGTCCACAAATTCTATTTCTGGAAATGCTGCTGCCCTAGCCCATTGAGAGAGCTAACTAACCTCAGGCAGCAACAAAAGGACCAGGTACAGTTCTGTGATCAGCCCTTCCTAGCATAAATTTCCTCATCTACAAAGTGGGTGGGTCGAGAGAAAAGCTGTAGGAAAACATTTCTGTACCACAATTGTGTTCAAATAGAAGATGTATTATTAATTACAACACCCATGCTGACATCTGCAAATGAGGGACCCAGACATGGCCAAAAACATTAAAGTCATAGCTCCTTACCTTCCTCAGGCCAGGACTGTAGATTGCTGGAATAAAGATATGCTCCTTCTCCTCCTGTTAGATAAGTGCCCAGGAAAGACTCATCCCCCTTTAAAAACAACAACAAAAACAAAAATCCAAAAAAGAATAGGTGATTTATAGCATAAATATTCACAGAATCAAAAGTCCTGCCCAATTATGTCCGTCTACAAAAGCTGAGTCAGGCTCAGATATGCCCAATGTATTCCATGGCCTTTGGCATTGTCTGGCTCTTTGGCAGTTACTGGCATCCTTGATTTGTGCTGAGAAAAAGAACATTAAGATTCTCTCTGAGTCCAGGCATCAAAGCCCGCAATGCTTGTTCATGTTCCAGTGGATTTATTTCCTTTGTGAAAACAGAGGCAGCTTCTCCTTGGCCTAAAGCCTTGATGTCTCAGCTCTACATGTCTAGGCCAATCTGGGATCTGCTTTTAATATTATGGGGAGATTTTTAAAAGAACACCAGAAGGCCCTGATGGAATAAAGAATCCCTCTAATTGTATCCCCCATAAATGGTTATTTCTAAAGCTCTGCTGGGAAGGGGAGGAATGCAAATAGGAAGTGAAGACAACATAGTGCAAGTCTTTTAGATTAGTAGTGAGATGAAGCATTTTAATACCTTTATGAATTGCTTACATTATTTTTTGATATAATGTTCACACTGAGAATAAGAAGGCTGCTTACCCTCACTGCTTGCTGGGTTTTCTCAGACAATTTTACTTCATTATCTTCCACCTGTGTCCAAAAGGAATGCAGATTTTCAGTCAACTACTTCAAGGGAAAACCCTGCTAGGTCTCCCCACTGTGTTCAAATATTTCCAGGACACTGGCTGGACAGTCCTTCCACCATGTCCATGTCCAGTGCTCTCAGGCCCTGACACACCTGAGATGTCTGCTGGTCACCTGGGCTCAGAGCCCAAGGCCTTGGTGGGCTCTCTCACTAGGACCTGAGGTCCAGCTAATGAGCTTATGACAAGCAGAGGGGATGTGTTAGTCTCCACCTGTATTTCACTTCAGAAAAAAACAACTGTTTTTAGGGATGAAGCAAAGATAATGTATTAAAATATTTTCAGATTTAAACACGTTTAGGTTAGAGGATAACTCTCGGTCTTCCCTGTCTGTGTGGGAACTGTAGAAGCAGAATGTGAGCACTCTCAAGAAGGGACTCAGCCCATTAGCAGACTAACTGCTGTCACACCTTTTACATTCCAAGGCCCCAGTTTCAGACCAAGTCCCTCCCACTGCGGAAGATGGGACTTTTCTACTAGCAGAGAGATGTTGCAGTAAAAACTCCGTAGCAACCACTCTACCAGGGAAGCAAGTCACGGGATCCACTTCTCATGATTTGTGTGACCTTGGCCGGGCCGTTCAACTCCTAAGCTCAGTTTCCTCATTTGTAAAATGAGGCTCTTAATTTCTTCCTTTCCTAATTTAACAGTGACCCACGTAACTTTGTTCCTTTCTTTTGAAACTTTTCTAAGATTATGAGAGTTAACGGAACTATGTTCATTTGTATAAAGAGAAAGGGCTGGGATCAAAAATTCCATTCCTGAACAACAGCTAGTTCAGGACCTGACATCCCACCAGGGGCCCAACAAAGAGGCTCTTCCTCAAGTGTTCACCCTGATTTCTCCACACGTAGGTCCACTTCCACCTGATGAATGACACTAACCAGCCAGGAGCAGAATCTGGGTACAGCAGCAGTCAGGACTACGGAGCTGGTTTCTGTGGTAACAGTGCCATCTGCAGGAACACCACACACATGCCAGTTAATTCCCTACCAGCTCAGCCTGCCTTGCAGGCCCCAGACCCTAAATGCCCTTCTCAGGAGCTAGGGTTCTTTTTTTTTTTTTTTTTTTTTTGAGACAGAATCTTGTTCTGTCACCCAGGCTGGAGTGCAGTGGCGCCATCTCGGCTCACTGCAACCTCTGCCTAGCAAGTTCAAGCAACTCTCTTGACTCATCCTCCCGAATAGCTGGGATTACAGATGCGTGCCACCATGCCGGGCTAATTTTTGTATTTTTAGTAGAGATGGAATTTTGTCATGCTAGCTAGGCTGGTCTCAAATTCCTGACCTCAGGTGATCTGCCAGCCCCAGCCTCCCAAAGTGTTGGGATTGCAGGCAACATGGCAAAACCCCGTCTCTACAAAAAATATGAAAAATTAGCCAGGTGTGGTGGCGCATCTGTGGTCCCTGCTACTTGGGAGGCTGAGGTGGGAAAATCGCTTGAGCCCAGGAGGTGGAGGTTGCAGTGAACCGAGATTATGCCACCACACTCCAGCCTGGGTGACAGAGCAAGACCTTGTCTCAAAAAAAAAAAAAAAAAAAAACCCCAAAACCAAGAAACAAAACTTTTGGGAATTAGTCCATTTTACCACTACTTTTTAATTTTTATCAAGGTAGTATAGGTATACATATTAAAGATCAAAGAGAATTATCAGGCTCATTCTACCATTCTTTAGAATATTTTCATTCCTTAGAATATAATAAATCTTTAGAATATTTTGCCAACCTAACAGGTAAAAAAATAATATCTAATTACTGTTTCAAATTGCTTTTTTTTGAGACAGAGTCTCACTCTGTCACCCAGGCTGGAGTGCAGTGGTGCGACCTCAGCTCAATGCAACCTCCGCCTCCTAGGTTCAAGTGATTCTCCTGCCTCAGCTTCCCGAGTAATTGGGATTACAGGCACCCACCACCATGCCCGGCTAATTTTTGTATTTTTAGTAGAGATGGGGTTTCACCATGTTGGCCAGGCTGGTCTCAAACTCCTGACCTCAAGTGATTCGCCCACCTTGGGCTCCCAAAGTGCTGGGATTACAGGCATGAACCACCACGCCCAGCCTTCAAGTTGCTTCTTCTTGACTACTAGTGAGATTACATATCTTCATTTATAAATAGTCCTCCTCTCTTTTTTGTTTTCCACGTCTGTGAAGTGCCTGTTCATTTTTTTTGCTCATTTTACTATTGGGTAGCTTATCTTTTCTTATTAATTTTGGAAGAGTTCTTCATAAATTAGGTTATACACCCTTTGTTCATCTTTAATGTTTCTCTTTTTTTTTTTTTTTTGATACGGGGTCTCACTGTGTCACTGAGGCTGGAGTGCAGTGCTGTGATCATCAGTTCTAATATTTTTACCAGTTTATTGTTGGCCTTTTGCCTTAGTTTATAGTTTATTTTGCCAAAAAAAAAAAAAAAAGGCTTAAGGTTTGCTTTCTAAAGATCACATATACTTACCCTTTTCTTTAACTAAGATCTGAGAAGTCAAAAATGATTCAGAGAAAACCACAGATCCTAAACAACCATTGCCTCCCAGTAAGTCAGGAATGTCATAGACGGCCATACAAGCCTGCATTGAATGAGAAACCAGTTAGATCAGTTACCAGCCCAAAACTTTCAGAGAAGTCCATAAGAATGAGACCACAAATACTGCCTAAAGGAACATGGCAAAAGAGTACTGAAGAGTTTCTAGGGAAAACTGGAGTTATCCTAAATACATCTTTGAACTGGGAGGTGACTTTAGGATCACCCAGGCTTCCCTGAAATTGCTCCCTGATCAGAGACACCCTTGGGCTATAAGGAAAGTATCCTTATGTTTCCGTATATTCCCTCAAATTGCTTTATGCTGACTAGGCACAGTGGCTCATGCCTGTAATCCCAGTAATTTGGGAGGTCAAGGAACCCAGGAGTTTGAGACCACCCTGAACAACACAGTGAGATCCCCACTCTACTAAAGAAAAAATTAGGCTAGGCATAATGACTCATGCCCATAATCCCAACACTTTGGGAGGTTGAGGCGGGTGGATCACTTGAGCCCAGGAGTTTGAGACTAGCCTGGGCAACATGGTGAAACCCCATCTCTACTAAAAATACAAAAAAAAATTAGCCAGGCATGGTGGCGTGTGCCTGTAATCCCAGCTACTTGGGAGGCTGAGGCAGGAGAATTGCTTGAACCTGGGAGGTGGAGGCTGCAGTGAGCTGAGATCGCGCCACTGAACTCCAGCCTGGGCAACAGAGCAAGACTCTGTCTCAAAAAAAAAAAAAAAAAAAAAAGAAAAAAAAATAGCCAGGCATGGTGGCGTCTGCCTGTGGTCTCTGTTATTCAGGAGGCTAAGGCAGGAGGATTGTTTGAGCCCAGGAGGTTGAGGCTGCAGTGATCTATGATCATGCCACTGCACTCCAGCCTGGGCAACGGACCGAGACCCCGTCTCAAAAAAAAAAAAAAAAAAAAAAAAAAAGCAAGAAAGCTATCAAGCTTTTATGGCCAAGACAAATAAAAGCTGAGGCTTCAGTAGCCTGGAAACAAAATTAGAACAACTCAGAGAGCTCCCAAATGTCTGGTAAGAAAGCCCTAATTTATTAGGTAAAAACTAGTGAAAATGAAACAATTCCGGGAAGAAGCCAGCAGAAGAAAGAGAAAATGATGTTAGCTAGAGCTAGAGTCTGTGATGACCAGGAAGATCTGATGAGGGACATGGGATAAGTAGCACAAGGACCTGTCCCCTCCTACCCTGAATAGTAGTGAGCGGTGGGTGCTGGTGCAGATCTCCTAAGTCCACTTTCACATATTGTCGTCCTAGCCTGGGACGCCTGTCCCACCCCTTAGGACAGAGACAAAAGATCTGAGGCTCTTGAACGGATTGCTGAATTTTCAAATAAAAACTTAAAGAGGCCACAAGGTTGAAAGGAAAAAAACCACAGTTAAGGCCAAAGCCCTTAATTTTCCATATTATTATGATAATAGGATATACAAAAGAGACAAGTAGGCGTCTATATTTGAATTAACTTTCCTTTCAGGTTTGACAACTGGAAGGTTTATCTAAAGCTGTCTCAAAGGATTTCGAGCATCTGAAGACACAGAACCCTCCTGAGCTACATGGTCCCTCTTAAGTGACAATGGCAATCCTATGTCTTTGGTTCCCAGACCAATCAGGTGGACAGATCCTGGGGGTTCCTGATCCTTCATGTTCATATTTGGCCACTGGTATTGAGGAAGGGAAGAGAGGATATTAAAAAGATAACATGTAGCATTTGTTGGACACTTGTTATGTACTTCCCACCATGTGGCACGGGGAAAGAAAAAATACAGCATGGTGCCTGTCTTCAGGAAATCTATAATGTATAGCTGGAGAAACAAGGGCATTCTTATATGAAGGTCATCATATGACACATTATGATATCATATGACACATTAGGATATAATTATTTCTTAATTTGTGTAGTACAAACTGCAACTGCAAGGACTATAGGAATACTTGTAGGGAGAAATCAACAGGGAAGGCTTTGGGGAGGATATAGAACTTCATCTCTGGATAAGAGGACAGAATGTAGACAAAAAGCATCAACTTCCTGCCTCTTATTTCCTATCTCATTAGCTGTGCATACTTGACGCAAGACTATGATTTTACTGGATTCCTAATCACCTGCTACTATGCAAAGCATCTTCCAAAGCACTGCTCAAGAGTCTAAGGAGAGAAGTCAGGGATTTAAAGTCTAACAAGGAGATAAAGTATTATCACCTAAATATCAGAAAGTATTTCCCAATGTTTTAATGATATCACAAAAAAGTCTAAACTAGTTCTAAAAGAACATCCACACAAAATGTTGACAGATGGGGACCAGGAACATTATAAAAACATAAATTACAACCTTAAAAAAATTACCCTTGTTGTGCTATTCTCTGTAGATAGGTTAACACTACTGACAGGAACTTTTGAGTTACTTTTCCACAGGTGATGGTGATGGGGATGCGCTTGTACCAAATTATCCACTGGGTGCTGCTCACCCAGTTCCCTGGGACCAAAGCTTTTTCAAACTAAGGCTCAGGCAGTGGTCACAGAACAGACTCAAGATATAACACACACCACAAACAGAATCTTGGCTAGATATGTACTACCCTCTCATGTACCATTTGCCAATCTTCTTCACATCAGGATGTTCTGGGGTAAAGGGAGGACTCAGCTTGTGGCTGAGAACAACTGGCCTAGAAACTCTGGCTCCCCTTCGCCATGCCATCCCACCCCAGGGACCATTATCTCAGTGCATCTCCAAACCATGCCCCCAGCACACAGGTTGGAAAACGTTGCTCTGACTACTCTACTTCATGGCAGACCCAGGTCCCTGTTGATTATTGGCCATTTAAATAATTATAGTCATGTATCACTTAATGACAGGGATACATTCTGAGAAATGCATCATTAGCTGATTTCATCACTGTGTGAACATTGTAGAGTGTACTTAAACCTAGATGGTGTAGCCTACTATACACCTAGGCTAGCTGGTATAGTCTATTGCTCCTAGGCTACAAACCCGTACAGCATGTTACTATACTGAATACTGTAGGCAATTATAACATGATGGTAATATTTGTGAATTTAGGCATATCTACACATAGAAATGGTGGGTAAAAATACAGTATTATGATATTATGGGACCACTGTTGTATCTGCAGTCCACTGTTGACCAAGATGTCCTTTTGTGGTACAGGACTGTAGTTAATTTTCTCAGGTTCCCTGTTTTTGTTTGTTTGTTTTCTGAGACTAAATCTCACTCTGTCATCCAGGCTGGAGTGCAGTGGTGCAATCACAGTTCACTGCAGTCTCAAACTCCTGGACTCAAGTGATCCTCCTGCCTCAGCCTCCTGAGGAGGTCGGGCTACAGGTGCATGCCACCACACCTGCCTAATTAAAAAAATTTTTTTTTTTAGACACGGGGTCTCACTACGCTGTCAAGACTGGTCTCAACTCTAGGTTCCTGTTAAGGACATCAATGCAAGTCTTGGAACTCAAAGATGCCACTGAAAAACTTAGTCTGTTAGTCAAGGCAAGCTTGTCCTGGATTCACATTTCGACAAGAGCAATCTCAGCTACCTGTAGGAAGGCTTCATAACCCAGAAAGAGGTGCCTCCCAACACCTCAGTTAAGACTCTGGACACTGGGGAAGCCTAGGCAAGGGAGAATAGATGTGGGTGGGCCTAGCACAGCTACCTGGGTACCTTCAGTAAACACAGGCTCACCCCTGCTATGGCTGGGATAGGACTGAGAGAAGATCAGCTTCTTCAGGTGGGGTGGGCTGCCCAAGACCCCCACCCACTCCCACCTCCCAACTTACAGATGTCCCTCTACAGGCCATTCCCAGCCAGCTGACCCATGATAGCTCTGCTTACCGTCTTCACAAAGGATAAGCTATCTTCACTGTCCAGCGGTACAATTCTAGGAGGGGAAAGAGATGGAAGACTATGTTAAAGAGTTTTTAAGTGTACTTAAATTTACAGTGTTTGCTTTTTTCAACTTGGCAATGACAAGTCATAGATTCGGATTGCTCTTAGGGCCTTTCAAAACACTGGGTTGCATGTCTGTAGAATTGGTATGTGGGCCACTAAGGTGAGTATGTCCATCCCCACCTCTGCCCCTCAGCTCTGCAGTGGGAAGCACTCAGGGTACAGGGGCTCAGCTGAGCACAGCCAGCCCAAGCCCAACCCTGGAGTGATGTCACTGCTAGGTGTGGAAGCATGAGAAAACCACTCATGTCAGCAGCCTCCCCTCTCTTTATCTTCCTAAAACTTGCTCCATGTAAGGATGCACCACAATCATATACGCACCTTCCCTGATTATTCACAGCATGTATATGAAAAGTCATCTTGGAGCTGTAGACCAGAAACAAAACAAAAGAAAAATCAGTCTGCTCCTGCTCCTCAGATACCTGTGCAGGGTACCTGCTTGGGATTCTCAAGGCCACACAGTGAGGTGTGTGTCATCCTTGCTTTACACAGATTTACCCTATTTTGGATACTTTCCCCAGGGTCCCACACCACCAGCAGGTATGAGGCCAGAATCTGACTCTAATCACAGCCCTGCCTCTGTGCAAGTCCTAAGGACGGTCTTGACTCTTGGACCACAACAGGAGAAAATGACATGAGAGGACTGCTGCTCACTGCAGACTGAGAATGACCCTCCATCCCTGCTCTGAGCGCAAGCAGAGGCCACGTCTCTGCAACTCACAGTCAAATGCTGTGGAGCCATGGGTGAGGCCTTCAGAGTTGAGAAATAACTAGAAAACCCTTTCAGCTTACTCTAACTTGTGTAAGTGTAATCTCTTGCATTAACACATACTAGATAGCTACACACTAATTACTGTCTGCATTCATGGCTCCCACTCCTTCCCCTCTTGGGAGAAAGAGATCTGCTAACCTGAAGCAGTTTGAGGGTCCTCAGTGAAGTAATCTTTTTTTTTTTTTTTTTTTTTTTTTGAGACAGAGTCTCATTCTGTCACCCAGGCTGGAGTGCAGTGGCGCAATCTCGACTCACTGCAACCTCCACCTCCTGGGTTCAAGCGATTCTCCTGCTTCAGCCTCCCCAATAGCTGGGACTACAGGTGTGTACCATCATGCCTGGCTAATTTTTGCATTTTTAATGAAGGCGGGGTTTTGCCATGTTGGTCAGGATGGTCTTGAACTCCTGACCTCAAGTGATCGCCTGTCTTGGCCTCCCAAAGTGTTAAGATTACAGGCGTGAGCCACTGCGCCCCGCCCTCAGTGAAGCAATCTTTGTGGTGAGAAAGGGGAGGGGCTCTAGGTGGAAGACTGGCCTGGGGGACTTTTCTCCCATTGACTGGTGTTTTCTTCTTGTGCCTTTCTCCAGCTAGGGCAGACACCTAGGCCTAGGAGGCCTTGGGACTGAGAGGGGGCCTGCTCTGGGGAGGCTGAGTGGCCTAGGCAAGGGCCCAAGTAAAGGAGAAGTAGAATGACTATGCCAGCCATATTGATGGTAAGAGAATACCCCACTGTGACAGCAGCTAACATCTATGTGCCCAACTGCTTTACAAGGTGGGTAGCTGAAGGAGCAGATACAGACAGTTCCTATCTTGCCCAAGGTCACACAGATGCAAACTGAAGAAGCGTTCTCAAATTCAGGTTGGCCAGAAACAGATAGCACAGGGCAGCACAAGGTCTTAAGGGAACAAACTTCCTTTATCCTTTCCCTTTCATGGCCAGGGCAGCAAGATCCAGAAGACCCAGGGGAAAGAAGACCTGAAGCAAGTCTAAAGCCCTGCACCACAGAGTTCTGGCTCTTTCTTCCACTCCTGGGGCTGCAGAAATAGAATTCTTTTTGTTAGACCAATTAATTGACTAATCTTTCAAATACTCTCTCTTATTACACAGGACTATAGATTTAAGAAAATGTGGGACATAGACCTGAGGCATCACAGGACACATCCTAGAAGTATTCTTAAATAAATTCCCCAGTATTGGTGTCTTTTGTATCCTTTGTATAAAAGTGCACATAATGGTCCTCACGTGAAACAGTGGTTAAGTGGACTGGGTTCATGAAGATTTAGCTATGGATAACAACCACCGTGACATGCTGGGAGATGTGATGGAAAAATCACCAGATTCTCAGATGATGCAGACCCCAGGACACGGCCAGGCTCAGGGTTTCTGTCATTCAAGAGACAGATGAGGCCCAGTGCAAGTTTCTTCTAAGCAGTGACTATCTTCCTGTGCCCAGGGCCCTCTGCCCCTAGAAACCTCACCATTCAGGTACCCAGCTTTGCCTTTCTAGCCTTGGAACCCAGGCTTGTCAAATCTCCTGTGATGCTGGTGTTAATCTGCCCTGCATTCTAACCTCAGAACATGTGTGTGACTTTCTCAAACAGTTCCTGCATCTTTGGCTCTTTGGCTTCTAAGTGAAGGCTGAATCATGAATGATTCTCCTTCACACATCCCATTATTTTACTGAAACATTTCTCAAAGGGGAGATGAAATCTAAATTATAAGGGAAAAAAGAATATTCCAAAACGAAGAAAAAAAATTCCTTATAAAAAATATCAGCCATTGCTTACCGCAGGGCTGCCTTAAACGGAATCAACTCAAAGGAATCTAACCCAGATCCCAGAGTTTGCTCTGCTACCTCCTTGGCCTGTAAAATAATAAGACAGCGACAATTAGCTTTCACAGCAGGAAAAAGTACACATATCACTGATGGAAGGGCCCTCCTAACACTTGTCCAGGATCACACCATGCCCTACAGTGTGTCCTTCCCATCTATGTGACTACTTGGTAGGCATGAATAGATTAAAGTGAAAGTATCATGTTAAGGGAAAGAAGGGCCTGCTTTCTCCAGGCTAGGTTTACAGGACAAAACTGCATTCAGGCAGGTGTGCACTGGAACCTGACGTGCTGGATCCAGAGAAGTGACCAGCTGTGATGACAGCAGTGGAATGTGAGGTCTGTAAAAGTGCTTTCTCCTCCCCTCTTCCTTGGCTCTTGGGAAGGAACCTCTGCCCTCAGAGTTTTAGCCAGATGCTAAGAATATCCAAATAGCAAGAGTTACAAAAGATCAGTTAAAAAACAAAGATGTGAGAACTGATATTGAAGGACACCCCACTGCTTTGGATAAGCCTTCTGCATGTAGTGGCTAAAGGGCTGAGAAATCCGGAGTCAGTACCAGGGATACAAGTTCAGTGAGGAGGGGAGATGGCAAGGAGCTGGTGACTACAGCTACAGTCTCTCTGATATCTACATCATACACAACCTTTCCAATGTCAAATGGCTTCCTTCAGAAAAGGTCCTATTGGCATTTGGGAGGCATCAAGCTGACTCTTCTCATCTCCTTACTGGGTCAGATATAGGAATCCAACTCAGCAGGGCAGGTTAACCGCAAAACAGCAAGGAAGATAATGGTCAGAGAACGGGAACACATGTGCTTGTCTAGGAAAAGCAAGTCAGATTTTCTAATCTTTAGCTATTTTTTTTAAACACTGAGTTATAGGAAATCAAACTTACCAAACTTTATTAGATTTCACAGTAGAATAATCTAAAGTTGTCTTTTTGGTTTTTTTTTTTTAGCTTTTAAAAGACTTTTGTTTAAGCTATTCAACAAAACAATGTGCTACAGAATGATTTTTCCTTAACACAACCAGATGTCTACAAAGAAGCACCGATTAGTTGTCATCCATAAGACAACAGCAGCACAGTCACAGGCAGCAGAAGCTCAGTGCTCTCAGGGCTTCTCTCTGCCTGGTGTCAAAGAGGCCCAAGCTCGCACAAAAGTGAGTACTACAAGATGTCCAAAGAAGAAACACATGGATAGAATGTTTTACATTAAAATAATAATTACAGAAAGGGAAACATGGTATTTAAATTACCTTTGTTAGACTGGAAGTTTTAGCATAACATGCAATGCCAGCCAAAACAGCCTCAATAACAGCAGCATATATCTGGGACAATAGCCTACTTTAAAAACAAAAAATAATGGTTAACATTACAGCATCATGAGGTTTTTGTCAAAAGATGCATGCACATAAATGACAGCCCCTAAGAAACTGATTTTTAAACAGAATGAAAAAAGGCAAAAATATAACCCACTGATTTCTAAACCTTTTAAAAGTCACATGCCTGGGCCAGGCATAGTGGCTCAGGCTTGTAATCCCAGCACTTTGGGAGGCTGAGATGGGCAGATCGCTTGAGCCCAGGAATTTGAGACCAGCCTGGGCAACATGACTTAACCCCATCTCGACAAAAAATAAAAATAAATAAAAATAAAATTATCCAGAAATGGTGGTGTGTGCCTGTATTCTCAGCTATTTAGGAGCCTGAGGCTGGAGGATCACTTGAGCCTGGGAGGCAGAAGAGGCTGCAGTGAGCCAAGACTGTGTCACTGTACTCCAGCCTGGGTGACAGAGTGGGACCCTGTCTCAAAAAAAAAAAAAAAAAAGTCATATCCCTGGTTTGACTTATACTTTGCTTTTGTTAAATCACCTTAAGGAAAGTCGGCTCCTCTGAATTCTGCTCAAGAGACTGCCCCTCCCTGTTTGTAACCAAACAGAATAAAACTGTGTAGACTCCTTGACTCCTCTATGTGCAGGAACAGCTACCTACAGAGCAGGAATTCCTTCAGTGTTCTCATACCCACTTGCTGCTTTCCCAGGGACCAATCATACTGTAGTTTCATATCGTCTTTTCACTAGACCTGCTGAAGGCTGGTCTATTACTGGAACCTCCGGGTAGGAGACCTCAGCGGGAGAAGAGAGATGACCAGACTGAGGAAGGGCTGGGTTTTTCTCTGCCAGAATGGACTGCCACGAAGGTCCCTAGAAAAACCAGTCTGGTTCATTTCAGGGAACCACCTAAGGTGGTTTTTCCACCTTGGCATTTAGGACTGGATAATTCTTTGCTGTGGGGGTTTGTCCTGTGCATTGTAGGATGTTCGGCAGCACCCCTGGCTGCTAACCAGCATCCCTACCCACTAGATGTTGGTAGCATTCCAGTTGTGATAATCAAAAATTTCTCCAGACCCTGCCAAATGTTCCTGGGAGTGGGGAAAGATGGGGGAGGGAGGTACAATAGAATTGCCCTTGGTTGAGAACCACTGCCTTGGAGGAAGGAGGTGCAGGCTCTTCTTAGGACACTTACGAAGAGAAGGGGCTCATCCAAGGGTCCCTGAAAGGCCAGGAGAGGCATCTGGCAAGGAACTGACAAGGTCTCACCTAAAAATGTGTCTATTTTTAAGCCCATAAGAATCTTGTAAAGGAATCAGGTAAAGGAAGGTGATAGGAGTTTGAAAGTGGGAAAAAACACAGAAATGATTTGGTCTAATCCTCTCATCTTATAGAAGAAGCAATAAGGGCCTCTGGAAGTGGAATATGTTGTCTATTAAGTCACAGAAAATTCATGGCTGACCCAAACTCAGATCTGCTCTCAGCCTGGTGCTTTTCCACTGTGCCACATCACATTGCCACCTCCTTCAATTTCCTCCTTGGCTCCTGCACCACATGCAGGACATGACATGTCAGCTCCAAGTATCAACATATCCTGAAGACTTCTGGCCAGGCAAGGGCAGGGCAGAGGGTATACCCTGGAAGGGGCCTGGCAGAGAGATGTGAATGAGCTTGGCCCCTTCCAGGTGAGACCAGAATCCTCTACACTTTGACACTAAGGGTGCATTTAAAGATGCCAAACCCAAAGACATGCAAAGATATCCCCCTCCTCAGCTGATTCAAACATCACTCGGTACCAACACTGGTCAGGCCTTCCCCTTGCTTGGTCTTCTCCTATACTGATCCTTACATAGGAGATCAATACACAAGCCACATGGCCGCTGACCCATAAAATTAAAAAGCCTGCATGGCTCTGTTTTTTTTTTTTTTTTGAGATGGAGTCTTGCTCTGTCACCCAGGCTAGAGTACACTGGTGCGACCTCAGCTCACTGCAACCTCTGCCTCCCGGGTTCAAGCGATTTTCCTGCCTCAGCCTCCTGAGTAGCTGTGATTACAGGCGCCTGCCACCGTGCCTGGCTAGTTTTTGTATTTTTAGTAGAGGCGGGGTTTCACCATCTTGGCCAGGTTGGTTTCGAACTCCTGACCTTGTGATCCATCTGCCTTGGCCTCCCAAAGTGCTGGGATTATAGGTTATAGGCATAAGCCACTGCACCCGGCCTCTGTTGTCACTTTCACTTGAATCCACATGTTCCACTGGATCTGTGATTTGGCAAATCTCCCAATGTGCACCCAGTTACCACTCAATACCAGTCCCTGACATGGGGCATCAATGGATTTGGTTTAGGCAAAATGTTTAAGGGTCTAGCATAAGGATCCAGGACAGTGGCTAAGCAGCGCTGGCACAGAAGTACAAGCAGGCACAAGGTAAGACTACACCCACCAACGTGAGGAAATGGTTGACTTGTTGCTAAGGAAAGGAAACCCACAAAAGAACTACATACACACTATGATTACAGCTTAATACTTTTTTTAAAAGCCCAGAAAGATATATACGTATACATACACATACACACACACGTATACACACACACACAATTTTCCTTTTTTTTTTTTTTTTTTGAGATAGAGTCTTGCTCTGTCACCCAGGCTAGAGTGCAGTGGCGCTATCTCGGCTCACTGCAACCTCTGTATCCCAGGTTCAAGCACTTCTCCTGCTTCAGCCTCCTGAGTAGCTGGGATTACAGGCATGTGCCACCACATTTGGCTAATTTTTGTATTTTTAGTAGAGACGGGGTTTTGCCATGTTGGCCAGGCTGGTCTTGAACTCCTGACCTCATGTGATCCACCCGCCTTGGCCTCCCAAAGTGCTGGGATTACAGGTGTGAGCCACTGCACCTGGACACACACGCACATTTTTGAGACAGGAACTCACTCTGTCACCCAGGCTGCGTGTAGTGGTGTGATCTCAGCTCACTGCAGCCTTGACCTCCCCAGGCTCAGATGATCCTCCTGCCTCAGCCTCCCAAGTAGCTGGGAATACAGGCGTGTGCCACTATGTCCAGCTAATTTTTGTAGAGACAGAGTTCCACAGGGTTTCCCAGGCTAGTCTCGAATTCCTGGGCTCAAGCCATCTGCCTGCCTCGGCCCCCCAGAGTCCTGGGATTTCAGGTGAGCCACTGCGCTCAGTCCCAGAAATATATAAATTAAGATACTAATGGGTAGTGCCAGACAGGAGGAATTATAGCTGATCTTAATTTCGTTTCTCTAATTCCATATTTTCTATAGTATGATTATATTTCTTCTATTATATTTTTCCCAATACAACTTTGTGGGCCCTGCCCTAGAAATTCTGATTGTAATCCTGGGATTGGGCCTGGAGAACCTATATTTTAAAGAGATCTTTAGATAATCCTTTGTAGCCTCTCACTGCTGGTCACAGGGAAGTGTTGATCTAGACCCCACCAAGTTAAGCTGCAGTATTTAATTAGGTAATAATAAAATTCCATTATGTCCATATTGCTGAAGGACAATGCTTTCTGGAATTTAATAGTTTCAGCACTAATGAGTTTATTTTCTGTCTTTGGTTTCCTGCTGTATGTGAAAGAAGAGAAGTCAACACTAGGTAGACCCTTTCTGAGGTTGCACAGCCAGTGTTCACACCCTCTCACTATGTTCCATAGGCTTAAGTGTCAAATCCAGAGAAAGACACTCTTCAGACCAGTTGGGGTTTCACATGATTCTCCCAATGGATTTCAGGATGGTTTATTCTTAGAAAAGCCCTTAATTTAAAAATGCATTATATAGAAAACATATCAAGGAGAGTTACATCATAAATGCATGGGTGTGCAGGTAAGAAGTCTCTGAAATCTAGAGAGAAGAGCAGATGGCAAAGCTGGCAAGGTTCTCTGGCCTGAATTCCAAGCTGAGAGAAACTTGGGAAACAACACAGTAATGTTCATGTCATAAACCAGATGTCTTCTTCTTCTTCTTTTTTTTTTACACAGTCTCCCTCTGTTGCCAAGAGTGCAGTGGTGCAATCATATAGCTCAGTGAAATCTCGACCTCCCAGGCTTAAGTGATCCTCCCACCTCAGCCTCCTGAGTAGCTGGGACCACAGGTGTGCACCACTATGCCTGGCTAATTTTTTATTTTCTGTAGAGACAGGGTCTGCTTATGTTGCCCAGGCTGGTCTCGAATTCCTGGTCTCAAGTGATCCTCCCACCTCAGCTTCCGAAAATGTTGGGATTACAGTGTGCGCCACCACACCCAGCAAAAGCAGATGTCTTAATCACTGTTGATCTCAAAAGGAAGTACACAGGACAGTCACAACTGAGTAACTCAACTTTGAGAAAGAAAAAATAAAATATGAAGACTTACATTTGTTCAGTTTTCTTGGGCAGCTTGCTGTCACCACCTGTGAAAGAGGCCCACTAAGAATGTGACAAGAGCACAGGATATGCAAACACTTAACAAGGAAGCTAGAAATGCTTAATTTACCTGGAAGGCATTGTCAAGAACTACACTTTTTTTTTTTTTTTTTTGAGACACAGTTTAGCTTTGTCGCCCAGGCTGGAGTGCAGTGGCGTAATCTCGGCTCACTGCAACCTCCGCCTCCCAGGTTCAGGCGATTCTCCTGCCTCAGCCTCCTGAGTAGCTGGGATTACAGGTGCACGCCACCATGCCCCGCTAATTTTTGTGTTTTCAGTAGAGATGGGGTTTTGCCATGTTGGCCAGGCTGGTCTCAAACTCCTGACCTCAAGTGATCCACCCACCTCAGCTTCCAAAGTGCTAGGATTACAGGCGTGAGCCACCATGCCCAGCCTACTTTTTTCTTTTAAGTTAAATATAGTACAAACACCAACAACAGTGGAACCCGGCCATTCCCAATAGCCTCCTGAACCTTCACCCGCATTTTCCACTTTTACAACCCACTCAGCAACACCACTAAATACCAGAGATGTGTGGAATCTTAGGTTCTGGAATGTTTTTGTTTTTATTTTTAATTTTTTAAACTTCGAGACATCAGTAAACAGGCTCAGTTCTACCTCTTGCTTTATCTCCTTAATTACCTGACCCAAGTTATGCTTCTTTCCAGAGTTTCCTGGCTTATTTAACATCATCCAGAATAAAATACGGTTCCTGACGTACTCTCCTCTGTGTAGCAATGCTGAGACCTGCGTTCATTCCATAGGTTCTTTTCCATGTGTCTTTGGATACCTGCAACTTCTGGTTACCCCAGTAAGCAGGGCAGCCCCAGCAAGCCTAGCCTTTCTGGATGGCCCCACAGCATGCTCCTGCTCCTAAGTACCCTTTTATTATGGCCTCTTCTCACTTTCCTCACAAGAACAGTCCAGTGGGCACCTGGCTGAGTCATCCAAATTCCCACTGCGGACCCCACCTCTTGCTTTTTTGTTGTTGTTGTTAAGACAGAGTCTCACTCTGTTGCCCAGGCTAGAGTGCAGTGGCTCAATCTTGGCTCACTGCAACCTCCACCTCCCAAGTTCAAGCGATTATGGTGTCTCAGCCTCCTGAGTAGCTAGGACTACAGGTGTGCACCAGCACGCCTGGCTAATTTTTGTATTTTTAGTAGAGATGGGGTTTTGCCATGTTGGCCAGGCTGGTCTCAAACTCCTGACCTTAAGTGATCTGCCTGCCTGGGCCTCCCAAAGTGCTGGGATTACAGGCGTGAGCCGCCATTCCTGGTCCCTACCTCCTGCTTTCTTAAACTAGGTCTTATTCATCTTGGCCTCCCCTGTGACACCTAGCAAAGGGTTATACACATGGTTAGACTTAATGTAGGCTGCACCAATCATCTTCCTCTTGAAACACATTCTGTGAGAAACGTGTTAGACATATCAACTATCCAGAAGTAATCAGAGAGGGAGCTGGAGGCCCACAAATTGGGTAACCTGAGCTTCCAAGCAAAGTAGTGAATTGTATGTCAACTTCTAGTTCATGGGACAGACTATTCATTAGATAAGCTGATGAGATGACAACTTATAGGGACTTACCCAAGTAAGGAACATGAGTAGCTCCAAAAAAGTATGTTCTCGAACAAGCAAGAGGTCCCTTTGGTGAGACACACTGGGCTACCTGGATGTCAGAAAAAAATAAAAATAAAAAGGGGCAATAACTTAGGCATGTACTAGTAGATAAACAAAAAGTATAGAGTCAATGGAAATAAATTTTCTTTTTTTTTTTTTGAGACAGAGTCTTACTCTGTCATGTAGGATGGAGTGCAGTGGCGCAATCTCAGATCATTGCAACCTCCACCTCCTGGGTTCAAGTGATTCTCCTGCCTCAGCACCCCCAGCAGCTGGGAGTACAGGCACATGCCATCACACCCAGCTAATTTTTTTTTTTTTTTGTATTTTTAGTAGATACAGAGTTTTGCCATGTTGGCCAGGCTGGTCTCAAACTCCCGACCTCAGGTTATCTGCTCGCCTTGGCCTCCCAAAGTGCTGAGATTACAGGTGTGCACCACTGCACCTGGCCAGAAATAAATTTTCTTCTACAAAACAGATTTATTATTTTTTAAAGACACAGGGGAAAAGATGATCTTTAACTGTTTTTCCAAAGGTATCTTTTGGTGCGTGTGCGTGCGTGCATGCGTGTGTGCGTGTGTGCGTGTGGTGTGTGTGTGTGTGTGTGTGTGTGTGTGTGTGTGTGGTTTAAACCTTGGCTATATTGTGAGGGTGCTGTTGGATACTCAGTTAGCCCAGGGATGCTAGGGCAATCATGATTCAGAAGGAAAAAGGAAGCAAGGTGTTTGGGTTTTGACTGTCATTAATACTTAGTCCAGAGCTTTCACAGTGAAGCCCCTGGCTGACATGACAGGCAGAGGTGTGGGACAGCTCCAAATTCAGGAAAGGATGGTGCTATCCACATCCCCACAACCATTTGTATTTCATCTCTGTACATAGACCCTGCGGAAGAGAAAATAAGTTCCTCTAGGTTTTCAAATTTTTATTCTTCTTCCCTGTTAAGATGTTCATTGATACAGAGATAAAATAGATGTCCTTTCCTCTTCTGAAAATCCAACATCTCATGAGGGTTCCTAGAATAATAGGTATAAAATGCAAAAATACTACCACAAGAACTAAAGGAACATTAGTAAGTACAATATACAAAAAGTAGCTAAATACAACACAAATACTCATTCCTTCTATTTTACTCAATTGTTTAAGACAACAACACTAGAATTCAAGGCATTTTTCTATAACATTGTGAATCCAAGTTACAGATTGGAAATGAGAACTTATTCTAACTAAGCTATAAAAAAGTTACTAATAGTGAACATCATCAATATTGCCATGACAATGAATGAAAACTCATGGAGGTATTTCTAATTGCTGGTTGATACATATTTCCTCAATTAAAACATGTTCCTTGGATCTCCAATTTTCCCTTATTAAAGGTTTTTTTTTTAAAGGTGCCAAGTGTTTGTGCTATGAATTGAGTTAAAGTCACATGGTTTAAACCCCAGATTTGAAGTGACACAGTTCTCTTTCACTTGTGTACACTTGAGTACGTGAATCTGAAGTCTATCTCAGTCAGAAGATCAACACACCAGCACAGGTGTTGGCCAGTAGAATGGGATCTATACACAGAGTCAACATTTCTCTCAGGAAAGAACTTTGGATTGTCTTAAGTAGTTAAAATAAGTAACTGTCTAAACCTTGGTGTCATAGAGCACGACTCTTAAAAACATTTTAAGTCAGGCTGAATCAATTGCGAGCTTTCCTGGAAGACTATAAAAAACAAGAAGAACCTCAAGACAGCTTCATTGGATGTCTGGTGTAAAGGTACCTATCCTTGTATTCAAAGGAAGATTTTGAAATAAATAAGTAACAATATATATCCAGATAATCTTACCCACAGCCTTGGTTTTAATTACCCCCTTCATACCAAGGGAATGCTCAAATGTTTACTTCTAGACAAGACTAATCCTCGCAACCCTAGACTTATGTATCTAACCCACTGCCGCCTCAGCTCCACTGGGGTGTCTCACGGTCATTTCAAACTCACTGTCTAAAGTGAACTTCACACACATCCAATCTGACTCTCCTCAGTGTTCCCTCTCCAAATGAATAGTTTCTTTGTCCACTCAGTACAGACATCAGAATCTTGGAGCTTCCATGGCTTTTTGTGGCTTGACAGCTCTTTTCTTTTTATCCCTAAATAGCATCCATTCACTTACTGAAAGACATCTTGGTTGCTTCTAAGTTTTGGTAATTATAAATATCCATATGCAGGTTTTTGTGTGGACATAAGTTTTTAATTCTTTGGGTAAATACCAAAAAGCGAAATTGCTGGATCTTATGGTAAGGCTATATTTAGTTTTGTAAGGAAATGCCAAACTGTCTTCCAAAGTGACTGTACCTTTTTGCATTCCCACCGGCAATAAATCAGAGTTCCTGTTGCTCCATATCCTCACCAGCATTTGGTGTTGTCAGTCTTCTGAATTTTAGCCATTCTAATAGGCGTGTAATGGACATCTAAATTATTGCTCCAAACATTTCCTAGCTGGCTCTCAAGTCAGCCCCAGGATGATAAGAAATTCACGACTCAGAAGGAAAAAGGAAGCAATGTGTTTCGGTTCAAACATTTCCTAGCTGGCTTTCCCTGGAGTTTTCAAGTCTATGAGATCCTCAAAGGCAAAGATCATGACTATCCCTTCATCTAGCACAGTGACTGGCATTTACTAGACATTCAACAAGGATTACTGACTTAATGAGTGAAAACTCTTTGGCTTTGGAGTGATACAGACCTGAGAGCAGAAATTGCTTTTATAATACAATCTATAATGTGGATATACACTGGGTGGTTTTTTATTTTTATTTTTTTGGCAACTTTTGAGATAAAACCATTTTAAAGTATATAATTCTGTGGTACACTGCCTTGATCATTTTGTTCTCTTCCCTTCCTGATGTTCCAAGATTCCTTCTTTTATCATTTCCTCTCTGTTTAGACCAAATTTCTTTAAGTTATTCTTTTAGGTAGGTCTTCCAGCAACAAATTCTTGTAGTTTTCGTTCATCTGTGAATGTCTTGATTTTCCCTTAATTCTAGAAGGATATTTTTGTTAGATACAGATTTCTAGGTTGACAACTCTTCTCTTTCAGCATTTGAAATATAGGTGCCACTTCCTTCTGGCCTTCATGGTTTCTGATGAGAAAGAAATACAACTTTCACTCAAAAATTGTTGGCCGGGCATGGTGGGTCACGCCTGTAATCCTAGCACTTTGGGAGGTCGAGGCGGGTGGATCACCTGAGGTCAGGAGTTCGAGACCAGCCTGGCCAACATAGTGAAACCCTGTCGCTACTAAAAATACAAAAATTAGCCAGGTGTGGTGGTGGGCACCTGTAATCCCAACTCCTTGGGAGGCTGAGGCAGGAGAATAGCTTGAACCCAGGAGGTGGAGGTTGCAGTGAGCCGAGATCATGCCACTGCACTCCAGTCTGGGTGACAAGAGCAAAACTCCGTCTCAAAAAAAAAAAAAAAAAAAAATTGTCTTCCCCCTATGGGTAAGGTGCTATTTCTTTCTGGCTGTTTTCAAGATTTTTTGTTTGGGCTGAGCGTGGTGGCTCATGCCTGTTATCTCAGCACTTTAAGAGGCCAAGGCAGGTGCATCACTTGAGGTCAGGAGTTCAAGACCAGCCTGGCCAACATGGCAAAACCCTGTCTCTACTAAAAATACAAAAATTAGCCAGGCATGGTGGTGCGCACTTGTAGTCCCAGCTACTTAGGAGGCTGAGGCATGAGAATTGCTTGAACCCAGGAGGCGGAGATTGCAGTGATTCAAGATTGAGCCACTGCACTCCAGCCTGGGTGACAGAGCGAGACCCCATTTCAAAAAAAAAATATTTTTTGTCTGTAGTTTTCAACAATTTGACTTTGATGTGTATTGGTGTGGGTATTTTGGGGTTTAATCCTGTTTGAGGTTCACTCAGCTTCTTGATTTTGCAGATTCACAGTTTTGCGTTTTTGTTTTTTTTTTTTTTTTTGCCAAATTTGGGGGAATTTCAACCTTTATTTCTTCATTTTTTAAGTCTCATCTTCGTTCTCCTCTCCTTCTGGTACTCCAACAATATGAATATTTGGATTTTTTGTGAGAGTCCCACAGCTCTCTGAGGTTTTGTTCAGTTTTTTTTTTCAGTCTATTTTCTGTTGTTCAGATGGGTGATTTCTATTGTTCTATCTTCAAGTTCATTGATTCTTTATTCTCTCATTTCTGTTTTGCCACTGAGCCCATTCACTGAGTTTTTAAATTTGACTACTGTTATTTATTTATTTTTGAGATGGAGTTTCGCTCTTCTCTCCCAGGCTAGAGTGCAATGGTGCAACCTTGGCTCACTGCAGCCTCTGCCACCCAGGTTCAAGTGATTCTCCTGCCTCAGCCTCCCGAGCAGCTGGGATTTTACAAGCGCCTGCCACCACGCCTGGCTAATTTTTCTATTTTTAGTAGAGACGGGGTTTCGCCATGTTGGCCAGGCTGGTCTTGAACTCCTGACCTCAGGTAATCCGGCCTCCCAAAGTGCAGGGATTAAAGTTGTAAGCCACCGCGCCTGGTCTATTTTTACTTTAAAAATCTCAATTTGGTTTTCCTTTTTCTTTTTTTTTTTTTTTTGAGATGGAGTCTCGCTCTGTCGCCCAGGCTGGAGGCAGTGGCACGATCTCGGCTCACTGCAAGCTCCGCCTCCCGGGTTCACACCGTTCTCCTGCCTCAGCCTCCCAAGTAGCTGGGACTACAGGAGCCTGCCACCACACCCAGCTAATTTTTTCTATTTTTAGTAGAGATGGGGTTTCACCATGTTAACCAGGATGGTCTCGATTTCCTGACCTCGTGATCTGCCCACCTCGGCTTCTCTAAGTGCTGGGATTACAGGCGTGAGCCACCACGCCTGGCCTCAATTTGGTTTTTCTACACATCTTCTATTTCGTTGTTGAAACTTTCTATCATTTACTCCAAGGGTATTTGTAGTTGCTCACTGAAGTTGTTTTTTTTTTTTTGAGACGGAGTCTTGCTCTGCTGCCCAGGCTGGAGTGCAGTGGCGTCATCTTGGCTCACTGCAACCTCCGCCTTCCAAGTTCAAGCACTTCTCCTGCCTCAGCCTCCCAAGCAGCCGGGACTACAGGCATGTGCCACCACGCCCAGGTTCTTTTTTTTTGTTTTTTTTTTTTTTGGTATTTTTAGTAGAGACCAGGTTTCACTGTGTTAGCCAGGATGGTCTTGATCTCCTGACCTCGTGAAGTATTTTTATGATGGTTGCTCTAAAATCCTTGTCAGTTAATTCTCACATCTGTGTTCTGTTAGTGCTGGCACTGATGACTGTCTTTTCTCATTGAGTTTGAGATCTCTAGTGATTTTTCAATTGAAACATGGACATTTTTAGTGGTTTCCCTGGAGTTTGTGATATAAATTAATAACTAATCGAAGTCCACCTTCAAATTACACTCTATCCCTTTGTGTGTAGTGCATAAACCTTGTGTCAGAGTACTCCCATGTCCTCCCTCCTGTGTCTTATTACATTGCTGCCACTCACTCATCTACATGCTGTAATCACCTATACAGTTACTATTATTAGAGAGTTATCTTTTAGATTAGCAATAAGAAAAATAAAAGGTTTCATTTTATCTTCATTTATTCCTTCTTTGATGCTCTTCCTTTATGTGGATCCAAGCTTCTGATATATATATATAATATATAAAATATATAATACATAACATATATAATACATATTATATATTACGTTATATATAATTAAAATATATAATATATGCACACATACATAGTGTATATATAATAATATATATACACACATACATACATACACACACACATACATAAAGAACACTTAACATTTCTTACAGGACAGATCTGCTAGTGATAAATTCAATTTTTTTGTTTGAGAAAGTATTTCTCTTTTGTTTCCTCCTTTTTCTTTTGAAGGATAAGTTTGTTGGATATAAAATGTGGTTTGGTTGGTGTGCTTTTTCATTCAACACTTTAAAATATCATTTCACTCTTTTCTTGTTTGTATGGTTTCTGATAAGAAGTCCCCTGGAATTTTCATCCTTGTTCCTCTATAGGTAAGGTGTTTTATTTCCCCTTTTGGCATTTTAAGAGATTTTCTCTTTGTCTTTGATCTTCTGAAGTTTGAATAGGATAGGCCTACACATAGATATTTTGGGATTTATCCTGCTTGGTGTTCTCTAAGCTTCCTGGGTCTGTGGTTTTGTGTCTTTGTCATGAATTTTGGAAAATTCTTGGCCATGACTACTTCAAGTACTTCTTCCGTTTCCTTCTCTTTCTTCTTCAGGTATTCCCAGTACATGCACATTATACCTTTTGAAATTGTCCCAGGGTTCTTGGATGATTTTTTTTTTTTTTTTTTTCTGAGACGGAGTTTTGCTCTTGTTGCCTAGGCTGGAGTGCAATGGTGCGATCTCAGCTCACTGCAACCTCCGCCTCCTGGGTTCAAGCGATTCTCCCACCTCAGCCTCCCTAGTAGCTGGGATAACAGGCGCCCGCCACCACACCCAGCTAATTTTTTGTATTTTTAGTAGAGATGGGGTTTCACTATATTGGCCAGGCTGGTCTCGAACTCCTGACCTCAGGCAATCCACCTGCCTCGGCCTCCTGAAGTGCTGGGATTACAGGTGTGAGCCACTGTGCCCGGCTGGTTCTTGGATGATTTTTTTTTTCTCTCATTGTTTTCTTCTCTTCACACTCCTGTTCGGGAATTTTCTATTGACCAATGTCACGCTTACTGATTCCTTCCATGGATATGTCTGCTCTACTGATAAGCCCATTAAAGGTATGCTTTGCTTCTATTACAGTGCTTTTGAATCCTAGAATTTCCTTTTGATTCTATCTTCAAGTTTCCACCTCCCTGTTTACACTATTCATCTCTTCTTACATGTTGCCTATGTGTTCCATTAGAGCCTTTAACATTAATCATAGTCATTTTTAATAATCTGTATATTACAAAATATGAGTCATATCTGAGTCTGGTTCTGATAGTCGCACTGTCTCTTCAAATAGTGTTTTTTCTTGCCTTTTAGCATGCTTTGTAATTTTTTGTTGAAAGCCAAAAATGATGTATCAGGTAACAGGAACTGAAGAAACAGACTTTTAATGTGGGATTTTATGTTAATCTGGCTGGGAGTTAGGTTCTGTTTAATGTTTTCTGAAGCTGTAGGTGCCAGGGACTTCAAATCCCTCTAGTATTCTTCTATTTTTCTTCCCCATTTTTCTTCTTTGGGTTCCCTGTGAACTCCATCTTAGATGTACCTTGCAGCTCTGTCAGCAGTAACCCCCTATTATATTGTAGACCTCTGCTAAGGTAATGGGGGAGGGAAACATTCTATGATTTTACGGTTAAATCTCAGTCTTTTAGCAGGCCTGTGTCTCCAGGCTGTGATCATCAAAAGTGTTTCTTAGCTATTTCCCCCTCTCCTAGGGAAGACAGGAAGCCTACAGTGGCATGTGCCTGTGGTCCCAACTATTCAGGAGGCTGAGGTGGGAGGATCACCTGAGCCTGGGAGGTCAAGGCTGCAGTGAGCCAAGGCTGTGCCACTGCACTCTAGCCTGGGTGACAGAGTGAGACCCTGTCTCAAAAAATAAACAAACAAACAAAAAAACTAGTACCTACTAACCACAGCTTTCCTGATTGCCAGAGACATTTTGAAAATACTCAAAATTCCACTGAGATAGCATAGACTTTCACAATCTAAGTCTCATATTCAGGTCTAATGTTTTCTTTAAAAGAATGTAGCAGACAATCTGCCACCAAATGCAAAAATCTTCTCTCTGGCACTCTCAATAAACAATGATCATCAAGGTTGGCTTCTGTCCTTAAATGTTAACAGTCAAGGCATAACAAACTTAGGCTTGGAATAACTATCTTCAAATTATTTTGAATTTTAAAAATTCTATTGACAATATTACTCTGACAACTTAAAGACTGGTTTGTGAAACTACGTTCTTAACCTTTTTCCTTCAAGTATTTCAAAATTAAATGTGATGCTTTCAAATCATACCTAGTTTGTACTATAAAAAAAGTACAAACAGTTTCTAATCACTTCTTTTCACTCTAGAACAACTTCAAATTCAGGGTTAAATCAACACACTAACTGGAAAAGGTTCTTTTTGTCTAGCTCCCCCCACCCACCCCACCCCCACAACTTGATAATAAAACTAATCAAGCACCAGGCAGTCCAGCCACTTACCATGTGCTTGGCAAAGCTCCCGCCGGGACCAGTGCTTCGTACCAGATGTCCTTCAGAAGGGAAGTTAAAGTTGCCAGCATTCAGGTTTTCTCGTGTGGAGTGATTACCAAAGAGAACAAATGGCTGCCGGTTAGGGCTAGAGAGGGAAGTCAAAAACATGTGATTAGAAAAGAGTTCCTGGCCAAGGCAACCTTCCATGACCTTAATAAGTCCTCAGGCTTTTCTGAGGGACACTTGCGGCCTGAGCAAAGTGGTCAGTCAGTACAGTCGACCGAATATCCTTGGCTGGTTGGAAACGGATGCCAGCTGTCTCCCTACTGACCCACAGGGATCAGTTAACATTTAGGGACATAACTAAACTCAAGCTAGGTTTGTATTTTCAGCATGTCCCACTTTTTGAGGAATAAGTTCCATAAGCTTGCTGTCCATGATACAGTGATAGAGCAAAACTCCGGTATTATAAAATAGAATTTTAATAGAAATATGAGTCTTAAAGGATGACAGTTATGATACTTGGACTAGACAGACAATAGGGCAGTCACCAATTCCTGAGTAACTTTCAATAGGGAAGGAGCACAGGAGGGTTGCAAATTTTCTCAATACCACACATACCTGGCTCTGTACCCACCCCCTTCCTCCCTGTCCTCTTGGCTGAACTTTTCCTCTCCCCTACTTTCTGCTCACTCCTCAGCCCACTCTAATCAGCCTCCTCAGTCATTTCACCCAGAGAGTTCTTGCCAAAGTCACCAAGTGACTTCCATGTAGCATACAGCAAATCCAACAGATAGTCTTCAGGTCTTCCTTCCTTCCTTGGTCTCTGAGAAGCACTTGACTCCCTCCCACCCTCCACTGCAAGAACTGCAGTGCAAGACTGCACTCCCCTCAGTCTCCCCAGTCAGTCACCCTCCTCTTCCACCTGGTCTCCGAATAGTCCCAGGGTTTACCTGCAGCTTGCTGCTCCCTCCTCTCCTCTGTGATGATGTTCCCTATGTCTGCTCCCCTTCCAGTTCTTGCAGGAAATAAACGGCATCACAATCCACCCAGGTACCCAGCCATCTGAAAGGCCTCCTTGACTTCTGCTTCCTCCGCCTTCAAATCTAATTAACCTTCTCAAAAGCCTTCCTATTTAACCATTTTCTTCCATCTTCATGGCCACAACCTTAGTCCATGCTGCCATGATTTCTTCCCTGGACAACTGCAACACTTCCTCACTGTTTCCCTGTTTCCACTCTTGCCCTCCTATAATGGATTCTCTACATTGCAGTGATGATAATATATATACATATTTTTTTGAGACGGAGTCTTGCTCTGTCGCCCAGGCTGGAGTGCAGTGGCGCGATCTCGGCTCACTGCAAGCTCCACCTCCCAGGTTCACGCCATTCTCCTGCCTCAGCCTCCCGAGTAGCTGGGACTGCAGGCACCCGCCACCACGCCTGGCTAATTTTTTGTATTTTTAGTGGAGATGGGGTTTCACCGTGTTAGCCAGGATGGTCTTGATCTCCTGACCTCGTGATCCACCCACCTCGGCCTCCCAGGTGATAATCTTTTAAACGTGCCAATTTACTGCCTTTATGTTATTTTCTGGAGAAGGGCCACAATCTTGAACATGGCTAAAGAGAACTTGTATGATCTGGTGAACTTTCTCAGCTCCATAGAAGGCCACTCAACTCCAACTTCAATACTCCAGCCAAGATAATTTTCTCTGATGTCCCTTATGTTCTTGTCTCAGGGTCTCTGCTCTTCCTCCTACTCCCATTTATCTCTGTTCATTATTCAGCTCTCTCCTGCAGGGGGCTGGGCTCTCCTGTGATGGGCTTCAAAGTACTATGCTCTTTTCTCCTTCATGGCACCAATCAGAGTTGGTAATAACAGATTTCTTTGTTAAGATGTTTGATTAATGTCTTTTTCTCCACTACCCTATAAACTTTATGAGGGCAGTAATCATATTTGCTTCCTTTTTTTAAACCATGAATCTCTCTTGATTGGTATGTCGTAGTTCTCAGTGAATATTTGATGACTCTATCCTCTATCTTCTTCCTAAATTGCCCTCAGTGAGCGCCATGTAAAGAATTATTTGCATTTCTTTTCACTACTCTTAAAAATACTACCTTAAGCTACAGGCAAACAAGGCTTTTAAAAGTAAGCATGGCTGATTTTTTTTCTGAAGCTTAATTCAAGCTAGGTGACACTTTGGGCAGAAAAAGATGACTCTGAGTCCTAGCCAGGGTACTTTGTTTCACTATTAGATTGGATTGGAATTGGGGGAAGAAAAGAGAGAAGAAATGTCCTCTCTATCCATCAGAGGAAGTATCTCCTGCTGATCATGACAAAAGAGATGTGGGAGAAAACACTTTCGAACCCTCATTGAACCCATCTTCGTGGGGCTGGACCTTCACACCCTGATCCCTTTTACTGCCTGCAAGCCACTGTTGCTCCCCTGCCCAGCCCTCGGACTATGCATATGTCACATGCATAATTTGCAAATGGTTTCTCCCATTCTGAGGATTCTCTGTGTACTCTGATGATTATTTCTATTGCTGTGCAGAAGCATGTTCATTTGTTAGGTCCCATTTATTTATTTTCATTTGCTTCCTGTCATTTTCCTGAGCCAGGAATGAAATTAAAAATTCCTTTCTTTAGATTTTAGCAGACAACAGTGATTTATTTATTTATTTAGAAACAGAGTTTCACTCTTGTTGCCCAGGCTGAAGTACAATGGCACGATCTCGGCTCACTGCAACCTCCGCCTCCTGGGTTCAAGTGATTCTCCTGTCTCAGCCTCCCGAGTAGCTGGGATTACAGGCGCATGCCACCACACCTGGCTAATTTTTGTATTTTTAGTAGAGATGGTCAGCCTGGTCTCGAACTCCTGACCTCAGGTGATCTGCCCACCTTGGCCTCCCAAAATGCTGGGATTACAGGCATGAGCCACCGCACCTGGCTGACAACAGTGTTTCAAAAGCTAGTTTACTATAAAATAATAAAATAAAAATGAAAGCAGAGAAACAGACACATTTACAGAGTACAGATTTCTTACCCTGTGATAACTAAAGTCAACCCATATTTTCCTGACTCTAGCTTCTGAACTTGAATGCACCCCCACAGCCAACCCCTTTGCCACCTCCATTTTCTCTATCACCATTCGCCCTTCTTCCCCAAGAAAGAAACTTACCTGTTTTCAGTTATATGGCTAGAGATCATTCCATGACTGAAATAACTTCTGAATGGCTAAAAAGAAGCCAACATTGTATATATTAAGAACACAATTTGGTAAAACAGTCATAAAACCCCTCACATATGTATGTATGTACACACATGCTTCAGGAGAGTGCACAGCGTGTGTGTGTGTGTGTGTGCGTGTGTGCATGTGCGTGTGTGTGACAGAGAGAGCTACAGAAAGGGAGAGATGTTTGTAGATTATTATAAGAACATGGAAAGATGTGTACGGTTAATAGCAATATGAATTTTAGGAATAAGTGGCAAACAAAATAATACCAAAAAAGAAAAAAAGACAAAAACCTGCAAAAAGGAAAATAAAGAAAAAAATCCTTTTAATGTACAGTGTTTACTGCAAGAAAATTGGACCAATCACCATCTATGGTCCAAGTTGCTAATCATGTGGAGATTTTTTTAAAAAAATGTCTTCTACATTTCCAATACATTAATATATACAAATTCTGCTGTGCTAATCCAAGGAATTTCGAAATATACTGATGGAAGTTTCCTGGGAAATCAATGAAATAAGTCTCAGCTTTTGGATGCATAGTGTGAGGCTAAACACTAATCAAAACTTAACATGCATGCTCTCATGTCCAAAGAATCCAAAAATTCAAATGGTAATTTTAATCCCGCTAAATAATATTTACTGTTTTTTTTCTGATTAATATATGTTCATTGTAGAAGACAATAAAAACCACCTATAATGTCTAAAAACTATCAACATTTTGGTAAATTTTCTTCAAATCTTTTCTCTATGGTACATCATAGATAATATATGATTGCACTAAACTTTATTAAATAGTCTTCTGTTCATGGAAATTTATATTGTTATTAATTCTTCAATATAATGGAAAAAATACACACACATACACACACACACACACACACACACACACACACACACACACACACACACACCTCATGTAGTGAACTTAATAAATTTAATCTGCAGCTCTGATGATTTCCTTAAGGCAGATCTGGAAATGAAATCATAGAATAAAAAGGCAGAACTATGTTGCCAAATTGTTTTTTAAGTTCTATCCATGTACATGTCTACCTACAATATGAGTGTGCTTGTCTCATGGTCTCCTCATAAGCACTGCCTATGAAATGGTTTCAATATATCTGCCAAGTTGAAAAATGAAAAATGGGACCTCATTGTTTGTTGTCTTCTTTTATACCCCTTGGCATTTTTAATGAAGTAGAATATTTTAGACATGTTCAGTGGCTATTTGGATTTCCCTTCATTAGTTAACAGTTTATTTACATTCTCCGGATATTTATCAATTGGAGTGTTTATTTATTTATTTATTGAGGCAGAGTTTTGCTCTTGTTGCCCAGGCTGGAGTGCAGTGGCATGATTTCAGCTTACTGCAACTTTCGCCTCCCAGGTTCAAGCAATTCTCCTGCCTTAGCCTCCCAAGTAGCTGGGATTACAGGTGTGCATCACCACAGCCGGCTAATTTTGCGTTTTTAGTAGAGACAGGGTTTCACTATGTTAGTCAGACTGGTCTTGAACTCCTGACCTCAAGTGATCCACCCCGCCTGGCTCAATTGGAGTTCTGATGTTTGTCTTACTGATGTGTAAAAACTATAGATTAACATTATACTTAAAATTTATCGTGGGCTTACCATGTGACTGTGATAGGCACTTATCATCTCAAGCAATCCTAATAACAACCTATGAGCTTCATTCTATCATTTCCTCTCTAGAGATGAGTTGACAAAGATACAAAAGTTAATTTACTTGTCCAAGGTCACAGAGCTAGTGAACTGTATAGCTGGGATTCTAACTTGGTAATGATTTGAGGGAAAAAATAAAAGTAGATCCATATCTCACAACATATTCCCACGAATTACATTTGGATTAGGGATCTAAATGTAAAAATTCAAGCCATACAAGTGCTAGAGGGTAACTTTCAATTACAGCCTTTCCCTATATAATGACTCAAAATCCAGAGGCAATGAAAGAAAAGGCAGATCAATTTACATAAAAACAAAAATGTTTGCATGGCAAGAAAAAAACCCATTATAAACAAACCAACTGACAAATATGGAAAAAGTATTTGGAGTATATACTAGAGACAAAATGCTAATAGCCCAATTATATAACAAACTCTTAAAAACCAGGGCACACGGGAGGCGGAGGTTGCAGTGAGCCGAGATCGCGCCACTGCACTCCAGCCTGGCGACAGAGCGACACTCCATCCCAAAAAAAAAGCCAGGGGACAAAAAACCCTCCTAAAACCTATGCTCTATAGTTCAGTTAATAACTGTACTAATATTAAAATGGAAAAACAATATGTAAACAAAATATAAAATGGTCATCAAACATATGAGGGAATGTTCAAACTTACTAATACAGAAATGTAAATTAAAACAATACCGATATACTATTTTTCATCTGTGAGACTGAAAATTTTTAAAGTATGACAATACATTCTATTGGTGAAGTTGTGCAGCAACAGGCATTCATATAGTGCTGGTGGGAATGCAAACTGGTACAACCCTTCTGAAGGGGACTTTGGCAATAACTAACAACATGACATATGCACTCACCTTTTGACCCAGCAATCCCATCACTAGGTACGTATATATACCTCCAACAATAGGAACATACATAAGCGCTGAGTTATTTACTATGACTCTGTTTGTAATGGCAAAATATTAGAAACAACCTCATTATGTGCACATACAAGAGGGGCTGAATAAATTAAGACAAATCCACAAAATGGAGTACTATGAATTGTAACAAAGATCCCAATGAACTGACTTGAATATGTTTACTTTGTTAAGAAAACAAAGAAAAAAAAAAGGACTGCGAGAGAGTTCCAGGATATACTGTTAAGTGGAAATGACTATATGCTACCCTTCAATGTTAGAAAGGTGAGAATATGAGAAAATGCACATGTATTTGCTCATTTGTGCAAATGAAATAGAAAAGGTAAATGAGAAACTCAAGAGGTTTGTTACCTACTGTCAATGGAGTGGGGAAAATGGGTGGAAAGAAGAAGGCAATAAGAAAAGAGTAACAGGAAACGACAGTGACACTTCTGAGTATACCTTGTGGAATCTCTTTCACTCTTAGAATCATAGTAATAGAAGAAGAAAAAAGAACTCCCCAAACTGAAAAGGATAGACCACTGGAACAACTTCAAGTGGTCTAATGTAGAAGCAAATGGAGTCCCTCAAGGAAAGAAGAGAGGTTTGGAAAAGAAAAAACATTTGAAGAGTTAACAGCGAAACACTTTCCAAACTTAAAGGAAACTATAAATCTACAGACCTAGGAAGCTCAACAAAATCCAAGCACAAGAAACATGAAGAAAACTACAGCAAGACATACCATAATCAAACTACTCAAAATCAGTAATAAAGAGAAAATCTTAAAAGCTGCCAGAGGGGGAAAAAAAAAGGCCTGCTTATATTCAGAGATTAGAATAAAAGACTATGCTATGTACAAAGATTAGGATGAAGGACTTCTCATCAGAAATAATGCAAGCAAGAAGACACTGAAGCAAGATCTTTCAAGTATCAAAAGGTAAAAATTGTCAATCTAGAATCTAGACATGGCAAAAATATATTTCAAAAATGAAGGCGAAATAAAGATTTTTTTTCCAGACACTCAAAAGCTGCAAGAATTTATCATCAGAAGATTAATACCACAAAAAAATATTAAAGACCAACCTTCAAGGAGAAGGATGCCAAGGGGAAGTCTGGGTCTACACAAAGGAATGAAGAGCACCAGAGAGAGCAACAACATGGGCAAATATATTACACTTGACCTTAGCCAAAAGGCTGAGAAGCGATACACTGGCAAATATATAAGACTTTTTCCCTATTATTTAAATCTTTAAGAAAGGTAATTGATTGTTTAAGGAAACATAAGAGCATTGTATTGTGGAGTTTATAAAATATGTAAAGGTAGCCGGATGCGATGGCTCACGCCTGTAATCTCAGCACTTTGGGGGGCTGAGGCGGGCGATTGAGATCAGGAGTTCGAGACCAGCCTGGTCAACATGGTAAAACCCATCTCTACTAAAAATACAAAAATTAGCTGGGCATGGTGGTGTGTGCCAGTAATCCCAGCTACTTGGGAGGCTGAGGCAGGAGAATTGCTTGAACCCTGGAGGAAGAGGTTGCAGTGCACCGAGATCATGCCACTGCACTCCAGCCTGGGCGACAGAGTGAGACTCCATTTCAAAGGTAAAATGCGTAACAACAAAGATCAATTCCAGCTCCATACCATCAGCAGGAGGGCTTGCTCTGAGCCACAGGGGAGCACAGCAGAGTTGAGGGCTGCAGTGAGTGCCCAAGAAGGCTAGAATGCTAGCTTAGAAGGATTCCTTGGATCCTTCCTGCTGATTAGTTTTTGAGGCTGTCCTGTGTCTTGGTTGTCAATCTAGATACTTCAGGTTTACTCATGAGCCTGGTAACTGCTGACTAGCGTCATCTGCTTGGAAAGACATCTTGGCATTCATTATCTGGAGGTTATACTGACAAAGGTGTGCTACTCACATGTGGATAATTATTCCTACGTCTATTAACTGGTGCCCAGTAGAATTCCTGGCACCACCACACTGCAAAGCAAAAATCCTTCTAATGGAGAAGCTGGCACAAAATAAAAGACAACTTTTTATAAAGGGTTGGCATGGGGGGGAACTACTTTATGGTATACAACACAGCTTAAAGAAATGACAAATTAGAATTGATAGTGTTGTATTTTGAAAAAAATTTAATAAAAAATTAAAACAATAAATAAATTAACCATTTTATTCTTCCTCTTTGACCCTTCCCTTACATACCTCACCCGCCTGAGATTCTGAAAGTTCTAGCAGGAAAGGAATTTCTGTGTCAAAATTAGCGAAGAAGCTAGTCCACTGATGTTCAAAAGCCACCAAATCCTGGGAAAAAAAGGAAAAAGATAACGTGTTTGGTCATATAAAGGAGGTATTTTAGAAAACGAGAATTATGAAACTGTAACTTATCTCAAAACACCAGACCATTTATATATGTTATTTTACAAGGTAGTAGCAAACTACTAGTACATGCTACTCCTATGGATGAATCTCAAAAACATTATACCAAATGAAAAAGCTGGATGTAGAAAACCACCTGATATGTGGTCCAGTCATATGAAATATCCAGAAAAAGCAAATCTGTAGAGGCAAAAAGTAGACTAGTGGTTGCCTGGGGTTGGGATGGAGACTGACTGCAAGTGGGCACAAGGGAACTTTCTGGGCGATGAAAATGTTCTCTGTAAATTCACTAAAAATCGTTGAGTTGTACACTTAAAATGGATGAATATTATGGTACATAAATTATACTCCAAATAAAGCCATTTAAAAGGATAGCTAGGAGCAGTGGTTCACATCTGTAACTCCGGAACTTTGGGAGGCCCAGGTGGGAGAATCACATGAGCCCCAGGACTTCCAGACCAGCTTGGGCAACATGATGAGACCTCGTCTCTACCAAAAAAAAAAACAAAAAAAAAAAAAACACCATGAAAAAAACGAGCTGAGCTTGGTGGTGCGCACCTGTTGTCCCAGCTACTCAGGAGGCTGAGGCGGGAGGATTGCTTGAGCCCAAGAGGTCCAAGTTGGAGTGAACTGGGATTGTGCTGCTACACTACAGCCTGGGTGACAGAACGAGACTCTGTCTGAAAAATGAATGAATGGACAGTAATGATCCTTAAGCACCTTATTTTAGCAACCCTGTTGGGAGGAATTTATTTACAGGGCACCTAAAGGATGGTACCATGTCCAGTGCCAAAAGGGTCACATCTGAGCAGCTTTGTTGAAGGACTGGTTGACTTTAGTTAAAGGGAAGGGTGGCACAGAGCCCTCTCCTTCCTTATGCCCTCTTTCTAGTAGCCACATGAGCACTGAGAAACTGCACCCTTCTTAGCTGACTCTCCTCTACATACAGCCTCCATTCCCCATCCCAGCTGCTTTTTAGCATCCTTTCTGAACTCATTCTTATTCTCAAGCACTACAAATTGCTTTTTGCTATGGGCTTTTCTTGAAGGTTATCATCAATTAACAAAAAAACCCCACCAATTAGGACTTGCTTAAGATACTCCTCAAGTATTATCCTTGTCCTTATTTTGAAGTTGCTAATAATTTGTACTCAAATTGGACAGTCATCTTCCCTGTCCATTTTACACCATGGAAGGGTATGTATGTTAGTCGCCCAGTCTAGTGCCTTGCTCATAGCAGGCATTCTGTTTGCTGCACCAAAACTCACTGGCCAGATCTACGCCCTCCTCCTCTCAAGGATACACAAGTACTCAGACCTCTGTGCTAGCCAAGTACTGACTCTACTTCTGGCCCTAGACATAAAGCACAAGGCAACACTGCTGGGAAGACAATGTAAACATTGTCTACTTGCTGCCCAGACTATCAGACACACAGACACACAGACACACAGACACACAGACACACACACACACACACACACACACACACACACAAATTCTGGCCAGGTATGGTGGCTCATGCCTGCAATCCCAGCACTTTGGGAGGCTGAGGGGGAGGATCATTTGGGCCCAGGAGTTCGAGATCAGCCTGGGCAACATAGTGACACCCCATCTCTACCAAAAAAATTCCTTTTAGTCATCATGTAGGTGACAGTGCTGATAGTGTTTTCTGAGTATGTTTTATATATAACGTAGGATAAAACAAAAAAAAATGTGTGTGTGTATACAGGTATCTTATCTATCTATCTATATATACATACATACACATATTAGGAGGAGGGAGACAGAGAGAGAGAAAGAGACAGAAAATATTTCCTAGCTCTATCTACTGAAGAGATTTAGAAACAATGGCCAAACCAGCAGCAATGAGTACTTCTAGCACTCAGATTGTGGTGCTGAAATACCACTTCTCATTCAAAGAAACCAGAACATTTTAGAGAACTGACTGAGAGTGGGTCTCAGACAGGAAATGTAAAGATAAGGCTGGGATATCTTAACATAGTAGCTGGCAAGGAAGTTATCAAGGACTATTAGTATTCTGTTAAAATAAGATTCTGTTAAATTGTGAAACAACTTGAAGGGAGTTCATTATCCAAAGATAGAAAAATTTGAGCGTCACTGAAGATGGTAGTAATTACAATGGATATAAACACATCAAATATGTTTAAATCTATGAGTTCAAAATACAATATACATATATACAATATATTTATGTATATATATACAATTGGAGTAACACCATTGTGCAATGGTGAATTGAGGATCTAATTAATGAATTAAGGATCTAGGGATTACACATCCATTGCTGTTCACAAAACAAAAAGAGAACCAATTAGACATTATGTGCTTCTTGATAAAGAATATAACACCCTGTAGGAAGTAGTCTTTTCTCCAAAAATCAACCCTGAAACTGATTAAACCTCTAGATTCAATTACCAATGATCAGGATAAACAGGAGACAGGGGAAAATGTTAAACTACATCATGGGAATACAATTAAGAAAATTTCAACTGGGGCAGGTGCAGTGGCTCATGCCTGTAATCCCAGCACTCTGGGAGGCTAAGGCAGGCCTTAGCACCTTACTAAGACCAGCCTGGCCAAAGTGGAGAAACCCCGTCTCTACTAAAAATACAAAAATTAGCCAGCCATAGTGGCATGCACCTGTAATCCCAGCTACTGGAGAGGCTGAGGCAGGAGAATCACTTGAACCTAGGAGGTGGAGGCTGGAGTGAGCCAAGATCATGCCACTGCACTCCAGCCTGGACAACAAGAGTGAGACTCCATCTCAAAAAAAAAAAAAAATTTCAACTGATGGCAACTATAAGACAAATGATCTGGTTTCTTCAACAGACAGCTAGGGGGCAGGGGGACAAAGAGATAGAGAAAACCTACAGATTAAAAGAAACCGAAAACACACACATGCATACAGGGCAGGCAAACAAAACTAACCTATGTTTATAAAATCACATTTGGATGATAAAATTGCAAAGAAAAGTAAGGAGATGACTACCATAGAATTCACGATAGTGTTATTCTTGTGGGAAGAGGAAGGAGGTAATGGAGGTTCTGTTGCTTTGCTTTACAATAAGTTATTAGATTGTACATCAGTTTTATGCTATTTTCTGAGTTTGTGTTATTTTATTTATTTATTTATTTATTTATTTATTTTGAGACAAAGTCTTGCTCTGTCACCCAGGCGTGATCTCAGTGGCATGATCTCAGCTAAATTTTTTGTATTTTTAGTAGATATGGGGTTCCACCATGTTGGCCAGGCTGGTCTCAAACTCCTGACCTCAAGTGATCTGTCCGCCTTGGCCTCCCAAAGTGCTGGGATTACAGGTGTGAGCCACTACACCTGGCCATCTATGTTATTTTAATAATGAAAAGTCTTTAAAAGCAAATGCATAAGTATTATTTGTTCATTACAGAAAACAGAATAAGAATCACTGTAAACACTTTGGGAAATGTTCTCTCAACTTATTTTTACATAGTATTTTGTATATAGAAATGCGCATGTACTTGTAACTGGTAATCTGCAGGGTCCTGGGTTAGAATGCTTTGCCATACCACCTCTGTGCCTCGGCCCGATAAACCAATCCTTTTGGGTCTGGGTTTCTGACTCCCTGCTATCAGGTCCAATCAGTGCCCCTGTATCCTGGGCCCAGGGCAATCTTTCCACTTTGGCACTGGGTTATCCCCTTCTGGACTCTGGAGATAAATACACTTCTAGCGCTGCCAACTAACACTTTAACCACAGACCTTCAATGTCTGTCTGACCTCTCTGGTCCCAGATCTACTCTCCTTTTCCAGTTGGCTGTCATTCACATTCCAGCAGTTAAAGAACGTTTCAATTCAGAAAAACCTGTGCTTGAATCTCTGCGTCTTACTGGCTGTGTGACCCTGGGCAAGCAACTTAACCTGAGCTTCAAATGCCTTATATAGCTGGGATGACTACTATCTACCTTGCAGAGATATTACAGGAATTAAGTGAAATAACCTGTATCAAGTGCTTATTATCAGACCTTGCACACTAGGTATCTTCAGTACTGCCTCTACTGCAGGTCGGCCCAAGGCTGGCTGTGAGAAAGATGGTAATTGCAATGGATATCAACACATCAAATATGTTTAAATCTATGAGTTCAAAATATTTATATATATATATATATGCATAAATATATATTTACATGTTATATATATATGTAAATTCCATATGAAATAATTCTATATGAAATGTTATTTTATGTATATTATCCTTTTAAATCTTCCTGACATCTTTGTTACTTCTCTATGCCCACTTTACAGAAGAGACTGAGGCACCAAGCAATAAAGTGACATATCCTCAATATGTAAATATATGTATATATAACACATTATATATAACATGTATACAGATGTTATATAATATATACAGATATATATAACATATATATAACATATGTGTATATATATGTAAATAAATATATACATCTGAGCCCTCCCCACAACATCCTGACATTTGTCTGCTCTCTCTCTCTGATACTCATAATGCACATCACTGGCCTCAGGGAAGCTGTGCCCAAAGCCACCCATCTCAGAGTGCATCTTTGCCTTGCTTACTTGGCTCTGTCCAACCTCTTCAGCTTTACCAGAATGCTTCACTTTGTGAGACTTTAAAAAAACAAAAAGGGACCGGGTGCGGTGGCTCATCCACTTTGGGAGTGGGCAGATCACCTGAGCCCAGGAGTTTGAGACCAGCCCGGGCAACACAGCAAGGCCCTGTCTCTATTTAAAAAACACAAAAATTAGCCAGGTGTGGTGGCAAGTGCTTGCAGTCCCAGCCTCTAGGGAAGCTGAGGTGGGAGAACCACTTGAGACTGGGAGGCAGAGGTTGCAGTGAGCCGAGATAGCACCACTGCACTCCAGCCTGGGTAATAGAGTGAGACCCTGTCCCCCCGCACCACCCCCCCCCCCGCAAAAAAAAAGGCTATTAATACAGAACACACTGTGTTTCAATTCTATTAGAAACAGACTCAGGAGGTATATTTCCACTTAAATGGCCTGCCTGGTGACACCCATTTTGGTTTGGGTCTATGACAGGAAGCAGTCACACAGTCAAGCAATACCAATTCTCTGCTAACTTGTAGGTGAAAAACGCAGTGTGCTTTAGGGGTTACAGAGAAGAAGATAGGCACTTTGTTACCCAAAAAACCACCCCTGAGGGAGGTGGATATGTCAGTACTAATTATAGAATAAGGTAGAATGAATCATTAAGTGCTGCTTTTAGCTCCATGCACATTCTATTTTTCCAATGCAAGATGCAATGACTCTTATTAAAAATCACCAGCATTCTATATGAAATGTTATTTTATGTATATTGTCCTTTTAAATCTTTCTGACATCTTTGTTACTTCTCTATGCCCACTTTACAGAAGAGACTGAGGCACCAGGCAATAAAGTGACTTGCCTGAGGATTCAAGACTAACAAGCAGCAAAAGCAGAAAAATATCTAGACAAAAGATACCTAGAACCTGTGTGCTTTCCGCTAGACATGCTATTCTCCCAACTTTTCCCCAACATAAACACTGCATTTGTGGAAATGGATACTGTTGTAAGTAAGTGGAACTGGTCAGGTGGATGGAAAGTTTATCATTCAGATTCTTCAAGGCCAAATCCAGAAGAAAGATGCAACAGAGGTCAAGAACCATGCCACTGTGCCTTGGCCCTTAGCCAGAGGACAAAGATACTGAACTTCAAACAGAACTCCTGGCTCTAGGCTGGCATCCAGCAGAGGCAGCTCTTGGGTGGCTCCAAGTCCATATTCATTGTACCATCCTCAAGTTAGGCAAGGACCGGCTTAAATACCAGTGAGGGCAAAGCAGCCACATTTGAGCACCTTCTCTCAAAATTCAGCAGAGGACTATTCTGGCACTTTCAGAAAGCCTCCTTCTCTCTCTGTCTAGAATGTTCTACCACCTTCTCCCCTTTCTGGAAAATCTCTGATTACCACACATGACTCCTCTAAGAAGCAATCCTGAGCACTTCCAGGCAGAGTTGTCACCTTACTTTATTATTTCCAAATACAGTTGAATCTGGCTCTCAGCCTTTACTCTTCAGGATGGATGAGAAGTCCACTATCACACATCAAAAGGGCTTCCTTCTCCTTCCCATCACCTAAGAATCAAGCTCATAGAAGTCAGAAAACTAGGAAAGAGCATGTTCTACAGCCCATGGTGATCACCACTGTTGCTGCTTCAGCTGCATGATGTCGCTGCTGTTCCAGGTGCAATTAAAGATGCTCTCCCGAGTGGACCCTCTCCACTGACTCTAGGGACACTAGCAATGTTCTTAAAACTACAGTGCTATTCTGGCCTCTATGTGTGACCTGCAGTATCCTCAGTTGAGGAGACTGCATGCAGATACTACTAAATTACCTGTCTCTCTTCTTTATCTGTGGTTAAATGGTCTTCCTAATTCTTACATTCTCTGTATATTTGTGCATTTTCACTTTTTTTCATAATTAGGTTCGCCAGGGGATGATGATGTTTTTTCAAAAACCAAAAATTTCTGATGTTATTTTTCTTTTACATTCTTCTTTAATTATAAATGTTTAAACAGAGGTTGGGTTTGGTGGCTAATGCCTGGAATCCCAGTACTTTGGGAGGCCGAGGCAGGCAGATCACCTGAGGTCAGGAGTTTGAGACCAGCCTGGTCAACATGGTAAAACCCCGTCTCTACTAAAAATACAAAAATTAGCCAGGCATGGTGGCACACACCTGTAGTCCCGGCTACTCAGGAGGCTGAGGTATGAGATCACTTGAACCCAGGAGGTGGAGGCTGCAGTGAGCTGAGATTGTGCCACTGCACTCCAGCCTGGGTGACAGTGAGACTGTGTTTCAAAAAAAAAAAAAGAAATTTTTAAATAGAACAGATGTTCAATGTTATCAAATGCCTTTTTTTAGCATCTATAGAGTCATTACAAAAGCCTCCAAGAGGAAAAATTCATATAGCAATTACACTAGTAGATTTCCAGATATTGAACTAAATATAGAACCTTTAATAAACCCTACTTCATAGAATATTATTTTAATATGACACTAGGTTCTGTTTGCTAATATTTAACTTAAAATACTGGTATCAATATTCATAATACTGGTCTGTAGTTTTCATTTTCTTTAGTTTCTTTTTATTGAGTTTTGATAACAGCTAATTTCTCTTTTTTTTTTCAGATCCAGTGCCGTCTGAATTTTTGTTTTAAGCTAATTTCATTAAAAGTTTGCAAGATGTTCTTTTTCAATGCTGTCTGGTTTTAGTTCATCACTACATTAAAACGTTTTAAGGGTAGGATCTGAACTTTTATTTATTTTTTTAGACAGAGTATCGCTCTGTTGCCCAGGCTGGAGGTGTGATCTTGGCTCACTGCAACTTCCATCTCTCGGGTTCAAGTGATTCTCCTGCCTCAGCCTCCCAAGTAGCTGGGATTACAGGCATGTGCCACAATGCTCAGCTAATTTTTGTATTTTTAGTAGAGATGAGGGTTCACCATGTTGGCCAGGCTGGTCTTGAACTCCTGACCTCAGGTGATCCACCTGCCTCGGCCTCCCAAAGTGCTGGGATTACAGGCGTGAGCTGCTAATCCAGCCCAAATTCAGAGCCTGGTTTAGAGCCCGGCCAGATCTGAACTTTTAAATAGCTCTGAAACTATATTTGAAGGTTTTAGGAGAATTACGAAATGTGTTCCTGGTAATTTCTCTGCCTTTTTTCAATTGGTTATTTTAGATTTTCTATCTATCCTGGGGCCTATTTTAATTAACCTTTAACCAAATGTGTTTGCATTGAAATGATGCAATTACTTTCTTATGACTCTTAACTTCCTTGTACCTATCATTGCCCTCTTTTCTCTTTTGAAATTTCTGCTTTTTCCCTTTTTTTTCTTGTTAGATTAGTTTATTAGTGAGGTTATTGCTTACAGGTCTGCAGGCTGGCTATGGCTCAGCTGGACTGTTACAGTCTGTTCTATGTATGTCATTTCAGGACCCACACATAAAGCAGCAACTACCTGAGAAAAGTTCTCACAGCAAGAGTATAAGAGGCCAAGAAAAATTACACAAGAACACCGAAGGCCTCTGGTCAGACATGTCATGTTATGACCAATCACCTTCCATATGACCAGGGCCAACATCAGTGTAACAGGAAAGAATAACCACTGTCAACTATAACAAGGGCATGAAGGGAAAAAAAAAGGTATGAAAAAATAATATAACCTACCACAATTAAGCTAATGGTTTCTCTATTTCATTATTTTCAGGTCCAAAGTACCAGTGCTGGGATTATTTATAAATTCCTATGTTCTATTTCATTATTTTCTGCTTTCCATGCAGTGAATTCTTTCCTTACTCTTTTCCCCTTCTTCACTTGGCTACTTATTTTCAATTAAAAATTTCTTACAAGCACTCCTTTAGCTGTTTTTCAAATACTCTGATATGTAGTGTTTTCATTACTTAAATTATTAGTGAGGCCAGGTGTGGTGGCTCAGGCCTGTAATCCCAGCACTTTGGGAGGCCGAGGTGGGCGGACCACTTAAGGTCAGGAATTCAAGACCAGCCTGGCCAACATGGCAAAACCCCATCTCCAGTAAAAATACAAAATTAGCCAGGCGTGGTGGCACGCGCCTGTAATCCCAGCTACTTGGGAGGCGGAGGCAGGAGAATCACTTGAACCTGTGGGGGTGGAAGTTGCAGTGAGCCAAGATCGCACCACTACACTCCAGCCTGGGCGACAGAGTGAGACTCTGTCTCAAAAAAATAAATAAATAAATAAATATTACCGAGTGCTAGTGTTTACCTTGTTAACTAATGTAAAAACTTTAATGCTCAATTTTCTTAATCTCTGACCATGTTCAGTAATAAAATTAGTATACTTCTTTTTCCTAATCCCTCCTTCCTCACCCATCCAGCTTTATCTTTTACTGTTCATTTCATTTTGTATTGTTATTTATATCTTTATTACTTAATTTTTCAGGTTTTTTCTTTTTTTAGACAGAATCTCGCTGTTGTTGCCCGGGCTGGAGTGTGGAGCGCAATGGTACAATCTCGGCTCATTGCAACCTCTGCCTCCCGGGTTCCAGCAATTTAAGACCACTCTGGGCAACACAGCAAGACCTGATCTCTACAAAAAAAATAAAAAATTAGCCAGGTGTGGTGATGCACGCCTGTAGTCCCAGCTACTCAGGAGGCTGAGGTGCAAGAATCACTTGAGCTCAGGAGTTCAAGGCTGTAGTGAGCTATGATCACCGCTGCACTCCAGCTTGGGAACAGAGCAAGACCCTGTCTCTAAAAATATATATATTTTTAAAATAAATAAATAAAATAAAATTTGGGTGTTATATTTTTGTTCTTGAGGATTTTATTATAGGTATGTTGCTTCATTTTTTTTTCTGCTATGGAGAAACTCAAGGCCACCCTGCATTTTTCTACTTTATCTGTACCTGGATGCCAACGCATTTTATTGTTTTCTGGGGGGATTTAGGGCTTGAGGGGAAGTCTATTAACTTTATTAGAATATGTCTCAGTGTTGACCATTGTGGGACAATTTTCTCTGGGGCATGGTATACCCTTTTCTTTTTTTTTAGATGGAGTCTTGCTCTGTCACCCAGGCTGAAGTGTAGGGGCATGATCTCAGCTCATTGTAACCTCCACCTCCTGGATTCAAGCGATTCTCCTGCCTCAGCCTTCTGAGTAGCTGGGATTACAGGCGCGTGCCATTGTGCCTGGCTAATTTTTGTATTTTTAGTAGAAATGGGGTTTCACCATGTTGGCCAGGCTGGTCTTGTACTCCTGACCTCAGGTGATCCACCTGCCTCAGCCTCCTCACACCTGCTGGGATAACAGGCGTGAGCCACTGTGCCCAGTCTGCCCTTTTGAATACGTAGATTCAAACCTTCCGTTCTTTCAAGGAAAGACAATTTTTGAAACTGTATCTTTTCCTTATTATTCTTTTACTTTATTTTCTCAGCATGCCCACTCAAAGGGCCTAAAACCAATGTCCCCACAGAAGCAAGAAACATACCTAATGCCCAGATCTTGGTTGTTAAATATTGTTCCTCACTAATTGTACTGAAGCTCTTTGGTGAAATGGCTAATTCTAAGTCTGTGACCATGCATATCTATCTATGGCCACTGAGAGACACCACTGACCTGCCTAACCAGAGTACAGAGTCCTAAAGCTTTAGTTCTGTTTGTTGCCGCTCGTTGCAAATTTCCCCCCGATCCTGATATAGACAGGCCGTGTATTTTTGTAAATAGTTTCCTGGGAGCACAGACATACCCATTTGTTTAAACACTGTCTAGAGCTGTTTTCATGCTACTATGGCATTGTTAAGTAGTTGCCACTGAGACCATAAGGCACACAAAGGCTAAAATATCACTAACTAGACTTTCACAGAAAAAGTTTGCCCCCCGGGCTCTAATCCTTGATTCCTTTAAGCCATAATCTCATCTTTCTATCTTTTCATGCCAGAGAAAGCCTTCTGCATTGTTTTTCTAAAGTCCAGTCCAACAGAAAGAATGCCTTTAGATAAAAACCTAAACCTAAAGGCCAGGCAGGAGGCCCTGGTTTTGCCTCCAGTGAAGTCACCTCAGAGTGGAAGAGGGAGCAGTGTCACTTTGCCAGGTTCCTTTATACCCCCAAGGAATTCAAGACAATAATCAAGGAAGAAACTGCTCTATTTTTTGACCGAAGCAAACTAAAATATCCTTTGCATTTCTTCAAATTAAAGATCACTAGCAGGTAACTGAGCTGGACGTAATACTAATATTTAAAAGTTACTGTTTGGCTCCTTACATCTGAAAGCAAACTCTCCAGAGACATAGGATCCATCTTGCTGTAGACATTCCATAGATTCAAACTCACATCCTGCAACTGCAACAGAGGGCAAAAACATTGAAATAATTAAGTCAATATCATTAGGACAATCAGAATTATTTTCTGATGTTCAGAAATGACTCTTTTGGTATAAACTAGTGTGAACAGAATAATAAATCAAAAATTTATCAATTATATTTGCCCTATACATATTAATAAATGTTTTACCATACAAGGAAACTATTTTTTCAGAAACTTTGGTACTGATTATCTTCAATAATGGGCACATATATATTTATACATACACACATGCACATACAGACTTGTGTATATTGTATATTTTTTGCCTTTGTTTTAAATAAAATTTTAATCAAAATAATCCATGTCCATGGCTTTAAAAATCAAATGGTACAGAAGGCTTATAATAAAAAATGGTAATCCCCAACTCCAACCTTTCCCAAACCCCCACTAGTCTCACTCCTCATAAACAAACACTTAGGTGCTCCCTTCAGCAGCACATATACTAAAATTGGAAGGATACAGAGAAGATTACCATGGCCCCTGTGCAAGGATGACATGCAAATTTGTGAAGCATTCCGCATTTTCAAAAAATAATTTTTTTAAAAAAGAAGCAACCACTTAGAACTCACTTCATTTTATTTTTGGTATTTACCTCCAGTTTTGATACAATATGCTTCTATCACTATTTTTTGATTTATCAATTTAGAAACTAAATATTGACTTCTGGCAAAGATGTAGTTCTTCTACACCCATTCCTATTCACAAACTGTTTCTTTCTCAAACTCTCGGACTCAAGTAATCCACCAACCTCAACCTCCCAAACTGCTGGGATTACAAGTGTGAGCCACTGTGCCTGGCCCCCAAACTGTTTACACATACATATCCTAACATCATTTAATATCATAATATGACTTTTTTAGTTTATTAATAATAACTTTTTTTACACAATGAATTGCTTTTATTTTGGTATGCATCCAAATTTCAGCATTTAGTGGTCCTGAACAGAAAGTGGAAAGACGCAGCAATTTGCCAGGAGGTCAAGCCAACCAATTTCGGGGATCTGCTGTGCACACCGGGTTCTTTCTTAATCCCTGCTGAGGATCTTGAGAAGCAGCAGCAGCACCAAAACCAAGGCATGCACCGGATTCAAGGTTCTTTTTGTTCCAGTTTTCAGATTCCAAACTAGACCCCAATGGATTGCAAGGATGACCATGAAAGCCCTGTTTAAAACTTCAATTTTTAAAAGCAAAAGCCATTACATGAAAGTAAAACAATTCAGAAGGATCACGTGTGCTTCCAAGTGTCTTCATGTGGCCTTTCTCCGAGTTTAACCACCAAGGACTCTGAGAGCTGGCAGGTCTGAGTAACCCTGGTGACTATTCTTTTCACCTTATCAAAACCTGAGCTAAAAACAACGCATCAGCCAATGACAGCAGAGGGTGGCAGGGCTGAGGACCCAATATTCATTTCCCAGGCTGGTGGAGAGTGAATAAGTATGGTTACAAAATTAAACAAGGGAGGTCAAAGACTCTTTCCAACCTTACCTGATGTCTTCTGGCCAAAGCAAGGAAGTCTCATGGAAGGTGTTGGGTGGTGATGGTGCAAAAAGGATCTTGAGGAGGGAATAAAAAGCAGCACCCCTCGATAAAGGTGGGGGAGAGAAGATATGGGGAAAGCTCTGAATTCCTCACCAAAGGCCAATCTCAGAGGTGAGTGGAAGGGTTACAATCTATGCTTTGGCCAAAGGTGGGAGTGGAGGAGTGTGGGGACAGGATGATGGCTTGGAAGGGGCATCATTTAAGACTTAAACCAGGGGTGCAGGCAAAGCACCCCACACACCCAGCAGTAGTCCCACAGGCTGCGACCTGAAGCCTTCACATCTACTCTAACAAGCCCCCCAGGCTAGACGGCTGTTGTTGCAGGGAAAGTGGGAGGTGGGAGGGTAAGGGGAGAAGGCAGAGACCCCAGGCCGTGTAATCAGCAGCAAAATGACTGTGTGATGTGTCTTTTCACAGTTGAGTTAGATGTGCCCCACCAGTTATGATGGTAATCAATTTAAACAGACTTTCTTGATCCCAGAAGTTCAACTACATGGACAGTGGCTACACTTGACAGGATGATTTGTTATAGCACAACTTATATATTTCAAATGGACAAAAAATTAGTATCATTTACAGTATCTTAACTTCCTTTGAATGGGAGCTTCCTTTCCAGTACTCTGAGGTCTACAAGACATATCTAGAAAATTTACTACTGAAAAATGAAGACTGCTTAAATCGAATGTTGGGGGGAAGGGGAAGGGCCTGTGGTTTTTCTTTTTGGTTAATTGCTCTAACACTGTCCTTCAGGTGGCTGAGGGAGTTTCATATTTTCTTTAGACATCATTAGGCGCCGAAACTCTTGCAGGACAACTTTGATGCTATATGAATTCTGCCATTTTGCTAGCACTGGTATGGCTCTTGGGTCCACCACTCCATTAGAACTATTAACTCCATTCATATTAATTTTTTGTTACAAATATTACAAAGGGGGGTGCTTCTGAGTATTTAGGTCCATATTCTATTTTAAGGCTGTATATTCGGTTTTCATAAATTGTTCCTGGAGGCCCAATTATCATCCCTGTCCATCTTGTAAGTGTCATGTCTTCGTAATCTTCTAGACCCCAGCTAACTGTGTCATCTCCTACTCCTTTCTGGCTTTCTTCGAGTTCTTCCAACAGTTGGAAATTGCAAGGGACTTTTACTACTGAGCCTGTGGTGGCTGCCATCTTGCACTGCTGTCGCTTGAAGCGGTTTATTAATAATTATTGTTTACAATGTTAAAACCATGTAAATATTATTTACTGCAGGCTAAGTACATTTTACATTCCAATTTGCTTTCTTATTATTATTCTTAGAAGTACTAACAGCTTCATTTTTTTCACCTGTATAATTTTTTTTTTACAAATCAATTCTGTTTTTTTTCTACCAGCCCCATCCAATTTGCCTACTCCAGGGTGTCTCAACAGTAACACTATTTTCATTTTGGGCTTGACATTTCTTTGTTCTGTGGGGTTGCCCTGTGCATTGTAGGCCCTCATTAGCTGCCTATAGCACCCGCCCCCGCTGCTCCAAATGCAAACCAAAAATATTTCCAAACATTGTCAAATGTCTAGGGGGAAGGAGAAGACAAATTCACCCCGACTGAGAACCACTGACTTAAACATATCAGAAATTCAAATTCCCTTTCTTCTTCTACCTCATTCTGGCTGGACTTTCACATTCTTTGACATCATCCTGGAGCTCTCAGTTGATGGATTTTGCTCTGCGGGTTACTTGTCTCCTCTTTCTTGGTTAACTACCCTTGTTTGATGGAACACATTATCCAACAGCTAAGAAAGGATTAATGCAGGCCAGGCACAGTGGCTCACGCTTGTAATCCCAGCAATTTGGGAGGCCGAGGCGGGCAGATCACCTCAGGTCAGGAGTTCAAGACCAGCCTGGCCAACATGGTGAAAGCCCGTCTCTACTAATAATACAAAAACTAGCCAGGTGTGGTGGCACACACCTGTAATCCCAGCTACTCGGGAGGCTGAGGCAGGAGAATCACTTGGACCCAGGAGGCGGAGGTTACGGTGAGCCAAGATCGTGCCATTGCTCTCTGGCCTGGGTGACAGAGTGAGACTCCGTCTCAAAAAAAAAAAAAAAGGAAATGATTAATGCAAAGCAAACTTTTTTGTTTTGTTTTGTTTTGTTTTTAGTTTTAAAATGTCTTTATTCTGGCCAGGCGTGGTGGCTCACACCTGTAATCCCAGCTACTTAGGAGGCTGAGGCAGGATAATCACTTGAACCCAGGAGGCAGAGGTTGCGGTGAGCCGAGACCATGCCATTGCTCTCCAGCCTGGGTGACAGAGTGAGACTCCGTCTCAAAAAAAATAAAAACTAAAAAATAAAAACGAAAAAAAAGAAAAAAAAAGATTAATGCAAAGCAAACTCTTTTTTTTTTTTTTTTTAGTTTTAAAATGTCTTTATTCTGGCCGGGCATGGTGGCTCACATCTGTAATCCCAGCTCTTAGGGAAGCAGAAGCAGGAGGACAGTATGAGCCCAGGAGTTCAAGACCTGCCTGGGCAATATAGAGAGACCCTGTTCTCCACAAAAAGGAAAACAAAACAAAACAAAAAGACATAAAATGTCTTTATTCTGTCCTCATGACTATGACTTTGGATTCTTTATTTTCTCTGCACTTCATCTTGGATAGTTTCTACTGCTATGGCTTCAAATTCACTCATCTTTTCTTTAGCATTATTCAATCTGCCATTAATCTCATCTAGTATATTTTTCCTCTTAAAAAATTCTCAATTATTGCATTCATTATTATCCAGTGTATTTCTCATCTTAGATATTGTAGTTTTCATCTCTAGAAGTTGATTTGGGTTTTTTTTGTTTTTGAGACAGGGGTCTTGCTATGTTCCCCAGGCTGGCCTTGAACTCTTGGGTGCAAGTGATCCTCCTGCCTCAGCCTCCTGAATAGCTGAGACTACAGGCACATGGCACTGCGCCCAGCTTTGGGTCCTTTTTTTGTATCTTCTATGGCTCAGTCTTTCCTCTAGCTTCTTGAACATATGAAATGCAGTTGTAACAACTGTTTTAATGTCCTTTTCTTCTAACATTTCTGTCAATTCTAGGCCAATTTTGAAGACTGATTACCTCATTATCAATTGTGTTTTCCTGCTTTTTTTAAGCCTGATGATCTCTGGATGCCAGACACCATGAATTTTACCTTGCTGGGTGCTAAATATTTTTGTATTCCTATAAATATTCTTATGCTTTGTTCTGGAAAGCAGTTAAGTAACTTGAAAACAGTTTGATCCTTTGGGGTCCTGCTTTTATGAATTATTAGGAAGGCCTGGAGCCACTGCTCAGTCTAGGGTTGATTTTTCCCTGCTACTGAGACAAAATCCTCCTGAGTGATCTACCCAGGGCCCAGTGAATTACAGGCATTCCTCAGAGCTATTGCAGGCTTGGTTCCAAATCACTATAATAAAGTGAATAATGCAATAAAGCAAGTCACACAAATATTTTGGTTTCCTAGTACATATAAAAGTTATGTTTACAACACACCATAGTCTATTAAGTATGCAATAACACATCTAAAAAAATCAAATGTACACACCTTAATTTTAAAAATACTTTATCACTAAAAAATGCGAACAATCAACTGAGCCTTCAGTGAGTCACAATCTTTTTGCTGGTGGAGGGTCTTGCCTCCATGCTGATACCTGCTGACTGATCAGGGTGTTGGCTGCTGAAGGTTAAGAGGCTGCGGCAATCCCTTTCCCTCCCTTCCCCTCCCCTTCCTTTCCTTTCCTTCTTTTCTCTCTCTCCCTCTCTCTCCTTCTTTTCCTTTTTTCTTTTTTTTTTTTTTGAAATAGAGCCTCCTTCTGTCACCCAGGCTGGAGTGCGGTGGCACAATCATAGCTCACTGCAGCCTTGACCTTCTGGAGCAATCCTCCAGAAAGACTGCTTCCTTCTCAAGCAATCCTCCTGCCTCAGCCTCCAGAGTAGCTAGAACTATAGGTGCACCATGATGCCAGCTAATTAAAACAAAAATCTGTTTTTGTAAAGATGGGATAATGTTATGTTGCTCAGACTGATCTTGAACTCCTAGTCTCAAGTGATCCTCTTGCCTCAGTCTCCCAAAGTGCTAGGATTACAGGCACAATCCACTATGCCAGCAGCCATTTCTTAAAATAAGACAACAATGAAGTTTGTCACATCAGCTGACTCTTCCTTTCACAAAAGACTTCTCTGTGATATGCCACACTATTTGATAACATTTTATTTATTTATTTATTTATTTATTTATTTATTTTTAGGAGGAGTCTCGCTCTGTTGCCCAGGCTGGGGAGCAGTGGCGTGATCTCAGCTCACTGCAACCTCTGCCTCCCGGGTTCAAGCGATTCTCTTGCCTCAGCCTCCTGAGTAGCTGGGATTACAGGGGCATACCACCATGCCCAGCTAATTTTTGTATTTTTAGTAGAGACAGGGTTTCACCATATTGGTCAGGCTGGTCTTGAACTTCTGACCTCAGGTGATCCGCCCACCTTGGCCTCCCAAAGTGCTGGGATTACAGGCATGAGCCACCGTGCCTGGCCGTGATAGCATTTTACCCACAGTAGAACTTTTTTCAAAATTAGAGTCAATTCTCTCAAACCATGCCACTGCTTTATTAACTAAGTTTGCAGAATATTCTAAGTTCTTTGTTGAAGTTTCAACAATGTTCACAGCATCTTCACCAGGAGTAGATTCCATCTCAAGAAACCACTTTCTTTACTCATCCATAAGAAGCAACTCCCCATCCATTGAAGTTTTTAACATAAGATTGCAGCAAGTCAGTCACATCTTCAGGCTCCACTTCTAATTCTAGTTGTCTTGCTATTTCTACCAAATCTGCAGTGACTCCCTCCACTGAAGTCTTGAATCCCTCAAAGTCATTCATGAGAGCTGGAATCCACTTCTCGCAAACTCCTGTTAATGTTGTTATTCTGACATCCTCCTATGAATCATGAATGCCCTTAATGTCATCTAGATTGGTGAATCTTTTTGAGAAGGCTTTCAATTTTTTTTTGCCCAGATCCATCAGAGGAATCTATTGCCTAACAAAATGTATTTCTTAAATAATAAGCCTTGAAAGTCGAAATGACTTGATCCATGGGCTGCAGAATGGATGTTGTGTTAGTAGGCATGAAAACAACATTAATCCTCTTGTATACCTCCATTAGAGCTCTTTGCTGTCTAGCTGCCCTGTCAATCAGCAGTAATACTTGAAAGGAATTTTTTTTTTCTGAGAAGTAGGACTCAATAGTGGGCTTAAAATATTCAGTAAGCCATGCTGTAAACAGATGTGCTATCATCCAGCCTTTGGTGATCCATTTAAAGAGCACAGAGTAGATTTGGCATAATCCCTAAGGGCCCTAGGATTTCCAGAATGGTAAATGAGCACTGGCTTCAACTTAAAGTCACCAGCTGCACTGGCCCCTAACAAGAGAGTCAGGCTGTCCTTTGAAACTAGGCACTGACTTCTCTCTATTTATGAAAGTCCTAGAGGCTGGGCGCTGTGGCTCACACATGTAATCCCAGGACTTTGGGAGGCCGAGGTGGGAGGATCACTTGAGCCCAGGAGTTCAAGACCAGTCCTGGCAACACGGTGAGACCCCATTTCTACAAAAAATAAAAAAGTTAGCTGGGCATGGTGGTGTACCCCTGTAGTCCCAGCTAGGTGGGAGGCTGAGGTGGGAGGATGGCTTGAGTTTGGGAGGTCAAGGCTACACTGAGCCGTGATCACACCACTGCACTCCAGCCTGGGCAACACGGTGAGACTCTGCCTCAAAAATTAAAAAAAAAAAAAATTAAAAAAATAAAAATAAAAAAGAAAGTCCTAGATGGCATCGTCTTCTTATACAAGGCTGTTGTCAGCACTGAAAATCTGTTGTTTAGCGTAGCTACCTTCATCAACTATCTGAGGCAGATCTTCTGAATAACTTGCTGCAGCTTCTACATCAGCACTTACTGCTTCATCTTGCACTTTTATGTTTTAGAGACAGCTTCTTTCCTTAAACCTCATAAATCAACCTCTGCTAGCTTTAAACTTTTCTTCTGCAGCTTCCTCACCATTCTCAGCCTTCACATTAAAGAGAGTTAGGGCTTTGCTCTGGATTAGGCTTTGGTTTAACGGAATGTTTTGGTTGGTTGATCTTTTATCCAGACCACTCAAAGTTTCTCCGTATCAGCAATACGGTTGTTTCACTTTCTTATAATTTGTGTTCAGTGAAGTAGTGCTTTTAGTTTCCTTCAAGAACTTTTCCTTTGCATTCACAACTTAGCTGTTTGGTGCAAGAGGTCTAGCTTTCAGCCTGTCTTGGCTTTCAACATGCCTCCTTCACCAAGCTTAACCATTTCCAGCTTTTGATTTAAAATGAGAGAATTGTGACTCTTCCTTTCACTTGAACCTTTATTGGCCATTGTAGGGTTATTAATTGGCCTAATTTCAATATTGTTATGGTCAATGAATAGGGAAGTCAGGATAAAGCAAAAAACGAGGGAACAGCCAGTCAGTGAAGCAGTCAGAACACACACATCATTTAAGTTCATCATCTCATATGAGTGCAGTTTGTGATGCCCCAAAACAATTCTGATGGTAACATCAGAGATCACTCATCATGGATTATCATAACAGATATAATAAAAATGAAAAAGCTTGAAATATTATGAGAATTACCAAAATGCGACACAGAGACACAAAGTGAACACGTGCTGTTGGAAAATTGGAGCCAACAGGCTTGCTGGATGCAGGCTGCCACAAACCATCAATTTGTTTAAAAAAAAAAAAAAGCAATATCTACAAAGTGCAGCAAACCAAAGCACAATAAATTAAGATAGGCCTGTATGTGTTTTGCCAGTCTAACTGGTGAAAACAGGCACTGTTCTCAGCCCAGAACACACATCAGGCACTATCCTCGAATCCTTTCAGATAGGTTTCTCTTGACCTTGAGTAGTTACCACACACATGACTGCACTGATCAGTATTCTGCTGAGTACCGACTGGGGCAAGGGGAATCTTTGGACGGTTCTTTCCTCTTTAGTACTCTAACTGCTTTGGTCCCCGCAGACTCCCAGCTGCATCTCCTAACTCAGGGAGTGCGCTGGGCACCACCTGGATCCTCTCTTCTCTATGCTGTGTCTGGAAACTTTCTCAAAGTGATAAGCTAGTACCATCAAGGGGCTCACATTGATTGTTTCCGTCTCTCAGGGAATCAGGATTCCTCACTGCCTGATGCCTAGTTTGTGTTTTTGTTTTGGGGGGCTTTTGTTGGTTTGGGAACCAGTTTTTGTTGTTTTGTGGTGGGTGACTTGTTTTTTCTTCCTGGAAGCCTTTTTTTTTCTTTTTTGGCCAAACTTACTGACCAACTTCCTGGAAGCTTTTTTTTTTTTTTTGAGACAGAGTCTTGCTCTTTCGCCCAGGCTGGAGTGCAGTGGCATGATCTCAGCTCACTGAAAGCTCCGCCACCCAGGTTCACGCCATTCTCCTGCCTCAGCCTCCCGAGTAGCTGGGACTACAGGTGCCCGCCACCAAGCCCGGCTAATTTTTGTATTTTTTTTTTTAAGTAGAGACAGGGTTTCACCGTGTTAGCCAGGATGGTCTCGATCTCCTGACCTCGTGATCCCTCCGCCTCGGCCTCCCAAAGTGCTGGGATTACAGGCATGAGCCACTGCGCCCGGCCATCCTGGAAGCTTTTAAAGATATTCTTTCATCCAGGCTGGGTGCAGGTGGCTCACGCCTGTAATCCCAGCTTTCAGAAGCCGAGAAGGCAGATCACCTGAGGTCAGGAGTTTGGGACCACCCTGGCCAACAAGGTGAACCCCATTTCTCTAAAAATACAAAATTAGCCAGGCATGGTGGAGCATGCCTGTAATCCCAGCTTCTCGGGAGGTTGTGGCAGGAGAATCGTTTGCACCTGGGAGGCAGAGGTCGCAGTGAGCCAAGATCGTGCCATTGCACTCCAGCCTGGGCAAGGAGAGTAAAACTCTGTCTCAAAAAAAAAAAAAAGGATATTCTTTTATCCTTAGTGTCTGAAATGTCACGGACAGATTTAAGGGTTTTTTTTCCTCTTCCCATTCATACTTAAGTGATTTAATTTAAAACCTTTTATTTCTCTTTATGATTGGGAATGTTTATGTTTTAAAAAGATTTCTTCCCTTATGGTATCGTGGCCTCCTCTTTCCAGAAATTCTACTCATTGGATATTAGACTTCTTAGATCAGTCTTCTAACATTTAAAGTTAACTTTTTTTTTTTTTTCAGATGGAGTCTCGCTCTTTCGCCCAGGCTGGAGTGTAGTGGTGCGATCTCAGCTCACTGCAACCCCCACTTCCTGGGTTTAAGCAATTCTCCTGCCTCAGCCTCCCAGGTAGCTGGGACTACAGGCGTGTGCCACCACACCCGGCTACTTTTCTATTTTTAGTAGAGACGGGGGTCTCGCTGTGTTGACCGAGCTGGTCTTGAACTCCTGACCTCAAGTGATCTGCCTGCCTCAGCCTCCCAAAGTGCTGGGATTACAGGTGTGAGCCACCAAGCCCGGCCTAAAGTTAACTTTAAAGGTTAAAGTCTTTTAACTTTTTTATCAATATTTTCTATCTCCGTGATGTTTTTATTTTACCTTTCTAAGGAGTTTCCTAACTTTACCTTCCACCCCTCTATTGATTTTATCAATTATGATTTCCTAGAGCTCGTATTTTCCATACATTCAGTTATTACAACATTCACTTGTCCTATGGTTGACAAATCTTACATTTTTCTGGGCATCCAAAAAGAGTTTTATGTCAAGTTTTCTTCTATACCTTAAATTATCTTTGGGTCTTAATGAACTGGTCTTCTTTTAAAAAAAAAAATTGATCTTTTTCTTTTGAGTTACTGCTGTTTAATCAAATGTCTGGTGATCTTTGGCTTCCTATTCATACTTTGAAATGAGGCAATGAAAAGGCTAACTGGAAGGTGTATATTCCTGATAACTGTTATGCAGAGCTTCTATTACTGGGTCTCCATCCCCTTATATTCTACATGCCAAAATGTGAACAGGTTTACTCTCAGGAAGCAAAAACTACACTAGCCAATGAAATCTCTTGGTTTTGTCTTGCCTTTCAGTTTATTTATTTCATTTTTATTTATTTATTTTGAGACAGTGTCTCACTCTGTTGCTCAGGCTGGAGTGCAGTGGTTCAATCAGCCCACTGCAGCCTGGAGCTCCAGGGCTCAAGCTATCCTCCGGCCTCAGCCTCCCAAGTAGGTGGGACTGTAGGTACATGCCACTGTGCCTCGCTAATTTTTTTTTTTTTGAGATGGAGTCTCACACTGTCGTCCAGCTGGAGTGCAGTGGCATGATCTTGGCTCACTGCAGCCTCCACCTCCCAGGTTCAAGTGATTCTCCTGCCTCAGCCTCCTGAGTAGCTGGGATGACAGGTGCCTGCCACCATGCCCAGCTAATTTTTGTATTTTTAGTAGAGACGGGGTTTCACCATGTTGGCCAGGACGGTCCCGATCTCTTGACCTCATGATCCACCCGCCTCAGCCTCCTAAAGTGCTCAGATTACAGGCTTGAGCCACCGCGCCCAGCCGTGCCCGACTAATTTTTTTAAAATTTTTTTGTTGCCAGGCTGGTCTTGAACTCCTGGCTTCACGCGATCCTCCCGCCTTGGCCTCCCAAAGTGCTAGGCTTGATTACAAGTGTGAGCCACTCACCAGGCCCTTTTCAGTTTTTTTACAAAACCTCCACCCAAATCTCTTCTTTGTTTTTCCTAGGGTGGAGGTGGCATCTGCAAATGCCTGGTTGACTGTCACTTGAGGGGAGAGGAGAGCGGTAGAGGGAGGTACAGACTATTACATAACAACCTTTAATTTAATTCTTTCCTTTCAATATCACCAATTTCCATTCTCTATTCTCCACTTCATCATCTTCCTTCCCATTGCTTTAATCTACTTGGCCCCTTCCTCTGTATTCTGGAAAAGCTTTTCAAGTGTGTCAACTGATTAGATTTTTTATATCTTTTTTTAATGTAAGTTTTCATTCTACTAATAAATTTTGAGACTTCCTACAATCTTTTCTTATATGTCTTCCATCTCCCTTTTTAATTTTGATTGCTCACCTCATTGCTAGATCTCATTTCTCTTTTTATAAATTCTGTTCCTAAAAAGTACCAAAAAGAGAAATTTTCTCAATTATTTTTGTTCCTTGAAGAAAATCTTTTTTTTTTTTTTTTTTTTTTTTTTTGAGACTGGAGTCTCGCTCTGTGGCCCAGGCTGGAGTGCAGTGGCGCTATCTCGGCTCACTGCAAGCTCCGCCTCCCGGGTTCCCGCCATTCTCCTGCCTCAGCCTCCCGAGTAGCTGGGACTACAGGCGCCTGCCACCACGCCCGGCTAATTTTTTGTATTTTTAGTAGAGACGGGGTTTCACCGTGTTACCCAGGATGGTCTCGATCTGCTGACCTCGTGATCCGCCCGCCTCGGCCTCCCAAAGTGCTGGGATTACAGGTGTGAGCCACCGCGCCCGGCAGAAAATCTTTTTTTAAAGCATGCTGATCTATCCCTGCATCTAATATGTTGTGGTCTCTTTCTTACATTTTGTTGACCCTTTTCCTAATTCTTATTCTATCTTTCAATATGAAGATCTATTTGTCCATAAACAGATGAATGAATGCTCACTGGTTACTCATTATTTAGAGGTTTGCTATTAGGATCCTCCCCTTGTGGAGCTGATTGATGTAAATTTACATTACCAGATCACAGTTCCAGCAGTGGGAGAGTAAGAAGGAGGAAGTTAGAGGCAGAAAACGCCCTAGCAGAGGAACTTCCCTGTACTGCTTCCCAGGAAGAAAAAATTATCTATATCGATGACTCAGTTTGGCCCAGCATAAATGGCAAGTAAAAGCTGTGGCTGGGCCTGGTTTTCTTTCTCATGCTGGCACCTACCACATGAGGAACAAAACACATCTGGGCTAATGACTTTCTTCTGGGTATGGCCATATAATACAACACAAGTTTTAAAAATTAAGTTATTAAGTATAGCTCTCCTTTTCTTAGCCTGCAAAGGAGGCAAGAGCCTTTCTGGCTCAGGCAGTCATCAGGCCATCAGAGTGGAGTAGAGAGGGCACTGGCAGAGCCCATCTGTAGGCCAAACTGCTCCACACCTCAAAGCACTGGGAAGGGCAGGGGAAAGAAGACTGAGGTGGGGTAGAATGAAATGTGCCTGAAGGAAAGTATCTGAAAATAAAAGTGAGCAGCTACAGAAAAGGGCAGGATGTGGAGAGAGGGACCTAGAGAAGACCTATAGTAACTCTTCCTTTATGATGTGTACCATTTCTTCTTCATGGCCCATCCCATTTCCTAAAAACATCATCCTAATGTAAAGATCTACATTACTTTTCAAAGGTGTTTTTTGGAAGGAGATAACGTTCTTTTTGAATGTGACTTCATAGTGTGATGCACCTTAAGGTCAGAAAACCTCTCTCATTTGGGTTATGTCAACTATGTGGCCTCCCAGTGCACTTCTTCCAATGTGATTCTAGCTGCAGCCCAGTGGTTAGGAGCACAGGCTCTGAAACCAGACCATCTGGACCTGGCCCCAGCTCTGCCTCTCACTAGCTCTGTGAAACTGGGAAATTCATTTAATTGCTCTTGAACGGGGATGTACCTCAGAGGGTTACTATACCTACCTCAGAGGGTTACTATAAGAATGAAATCAGTCAATTCACATAAAGTGCTTAGAAAAGTACCTGGCATATAGTAGGCACTCAGACCTAGTTCATACAATTAATTAAAAATAAATATTACCATTATTAATTAATATTATAAAAATGTTAAGTTTCTTCTCTAACCCCTATGGTCTGCCTCCCTTCAAGCCCCTACTCTTCTAAGTTAGACAGCATTAATTCCCAGTAGGGGAAGCTTCCACAGCTTTGTGGATGTTCTGCTACTTGTAGTCAATGTGAGAATACTGTGATTTTGCAAAAGGAAAAGTGGAGTCCAAGTGGTATGCTTCCCTTCAGCCCCACAGCCCATGCTGCTCCATTTCAGAGGATGTGATAGTTCTCCCAGGCAAGCCTCCAGTCATCTGCTAGGGATGCCAGTACTTCTCAGAGGGGTAGAAATTAGCTCTGTGCCTTGCTTCTAAGGGACCCACTTACTCTCTCCCTAATAGGATGTCCCCATTTCTAGCATGACAATGTTCCCCGTCCCTGGTTTCCTGTACTGGGCAGGTCATTTCAGTGGGGATCCCATGGAGGCACATGGATACTCGTGGTCATGCTGCTAACCTATCAAGCCATTTTCCTTAATCTGTACTCTGGACCACACACTGTCCCAGACTCACTTAAGAAATATTTACTGGTCATTTTCTAGATGCAAGGAATGCTGAAATAAAAGACACTGCTCTTACCAAAAAAGCTAATCTTTCCATTCCTCTAGTACATTGTACTTATCCAAATTCTGCACTGTCCCTTTCATTGATCTTGAATAGTTCTCAAATTATATAAATTTCTGAGGTACAAACAACAACAAGTTATGTTTTTGTACTTAAGGAGCTTCCAGTACAAAGACCAGGGTGGATGGGTTGGTGGGCAAGTGGGTGAGTGTGACAAATGTGTAATAACAGGATCATAAAAGCTGTAGGAAAAGTCAATCTAGGGGGCTACAGGAGCAGACAGGAAGAACAGTCAGCTGAGAATGGGGTAAGGGAGAGGAAGGACGGAGAAGAACTCCAAGAAGAAAGGACACAGGACCTCAGTCTGGGACTAGCCTTTAGCAGCAACTATTTTCCATTTCAAGTCTCCTAACTTGCTCCATGCCCTTGTGAGGTAACTGCCAGCTTTTTGGTGTTATAATAATGCACACTCACATGGGTTCTTCATAAAAACAGCCCAGTGGCAGACAAAAACTAGGCATACTGCTTTTCATACATACCTCATATTTCATGGTAAAAAATCCATCCCCTCCAATGCCCTCAAGTGCAAAGGCCTGTACAATTGGCCATTTCTCCACCACAAACATATCAAATATCTGCAAGTGACCTAGAAGAATCAAATACAACAACACATATCAGATACCATCCTGAATATAACAGTCTAAACCTGACCTAACATGGTTAGACAGGTATCATTTCTCACGTGGTCACCAGGGCCTCACCTAGCAAAATAAAATACAAACAGATAAAATGGTTAGATATTGAAACTAGAAATACAAAATGAAAGTCAAGGAAAATTCAAACCATAAACAAGTCACATTCAGATTTCTTTACAGTATATTGTAACATTCCAGTTTCCTGAGTAAATTAAGTAAAAAATAAGAGTAGTCTATTATATCTGACTTGCATCATTCAGTGGGAATAATTATTAACAGACACAAAGTTGGCTCCTTTCCCTTAAGAAACACAGCCAATCAACTTCCTCAAGGGAAAACTACTAAATCAAAAATGTTCCTTTCTTGTTAACAATAGCTTCAATGTGCAAGGTTTTTTCTTTTTGTTGTTGCAATACAAGCACTGCTAAACTTGATAGTTTTTCCCTGTATTTTACACATCATTTAAAAACATGTCAGCATATCTTTTTAGAAGTTATCCAAATCCCTCTTTCTTATTACCAAGATGCCCCAACATCTATACTATACTCTTTGTATAGTAAGTGATACAGCCATGTCAATTGTGCTAAATTCTGTATCAGTTCTTCTACCTGATTTTGGGCAGCCTGCTGTGTTGCTGCAGAAACTTCACAGTAATTAATACAAGCTTGCACAGAAAAGTCCCCATACTTAATTCTGCTTGATGTCTTTGGTAAAAATAGACGAAGGGGTTTCTCAGCTGAATGCCCCCAATGAAAGGAAAAGTAGTGACGTTCAATTCACACACCACCTAAGCAAGGTTCTAGAAGGCTTGCTGTCAGATACTCACCTTGGGAGCTGTAAGGAATGCCAATTCTACTACAGTCTCGAACCATGTCCACAAAGCTGGTAATTTTAAATTCTTCTGCGGCTTCTTCATCTTCATACTGAAGAGACAAATCAAAAGAAAAATAAGCTCTGATGAGATATCACACAAATTCCCATATTTTCTCTGCATTTTGTCAACCAGAGTTGTCCCAAATGACATTTACAGAGGACTGCACCCAAGGAGGTGTTTCCAAAGCCAACCTTTTTCATTTGCTAGTCAGAAAGACTTGTTATGCCCTTATTTCATATTATACCCAAAAATCAACTGAAATGGATCAGGAAACCTAAATGCAAGAGATAACACTTTTCCCCCAAAAAATTCCGCCAAATACTCATATGGGAGGAAGTGTTCTTGACCAGTATCAGGTCACAACTTTCATGAAATCCTAAATCTCAAATCCAAACTTGATTTCCAGTCAAACCCCTGAAAAGGGCCCAAAGGGAAAGAAAAACAGATACCAAGACATTCAAACACAGGAATGTCAGAAAGCTTAAAAAATTCTCCCAGGGAGCCAGGCATGGTGGCTCACGCCTGTAATCCCAGAACTTTGGGAGGCTGAGGTGGGCGGATCACCTAAAGTCAGGAGTTTGAGACCAGTCTGACCAATGTAACAAAACTCCGTCTCTACTAAAAATACAAAAATTAGCCAGGTGCCTGTTGTCCCAGCTACTCGGGAGGCTGAGACAGGAGAATTGCTTGAACCTGGGAGGTCGAGGTTGCAGTGAGCCGAGACTGTGCCACTGCACTCCAGCCTGGGCGACAGAGTGAGACTCCGTCCCAGAAAAAAAAAAAAATCCCAGGGCAGTCCCTAGGCACTAATCCCCTAAGAGATGGGATTCAGGATGGTGATGAAGAAGCAGGCAAAAAGTTAAGTTCATAAACTTACCACTAGGTCCCAATTTGAACAGCCTCCTTTTGTCTCCACAGGCATACAATTTATCTATAAGGTAGCCTCAAAACGAAATATGAAATTCTCCACTTCAAACAGATAATCTTTTTTATATAGTCACACTCTGCAATTTGATTGCTGATCCTATTTCAGATCAACACTTTCCTTAAAGAGTATTCTTAGAGTGTCTCTAGGTGCCTGTCTTCTCTTTTCTTCTTACCTCATTTTCGGTCATGCAGTGGAAATGCAGATTTCTCCAATGTGCCACATAAGGTAAGAGATAGCGAAAGTTTACAGGATTACAGTACAGATGGACGCTATCCGATTTAATCAATATAATTACATCTGTAAGAAAAACAAAATCAAAACACAAGACTGTCAAACACATTTCTTTTAGATATTTTCTGCCCACATAATTAGTAAAACCATTGAAACTACTTCAGAGACAATGTAACAAAACTCTAAACTGAAAATTATTTAATTAAGCACTGTGCCTTGTAAACCAAAAAGTATCTGAGACAAGTCTCAATCAATTTTGAAGTTTATTTTGCCAAGTTTAAGGACATGCCTGTGACATACCCTCAGGAGGTCCTGAGAACATGTACCCAAAATGGCTGGATAACAGCTTGATTTTAGACTTTTTAGGGAAACAGAAGTTACCAGCAGACATCAACCAACACATGTAAAGTGTACATTTGGTTTGGTCCAGAAAGTCGGGGTCAGGAGTGAAAGGGTCCTTTCGTGTCATATAGGTGGATTCAAAGATTTTCTGACTGGCAATTGGTTGAAAGAGTTAAGTTTTATTACCTAAAGATCTGGAATCAGGGCTGGGCACGGTGGCTCACGCCTGTAATCCCAGCACTTTGGGAGGCTGAGGCGGATGGATCACGAGGTCAGGAGTTTGAGACCAGCCTGACCAACATGGTGAAACCCCGTCTCTACTAAAAACAAAAACACAAAAATTAGCCGGGTGTGGTGGCGCGCACCTGTAATCCCAGCTACTCAGGAGGCTGAGGCAGGAGAGTCATTTGAACCTGGGAGGCAGAGGTTGCAGTGAGCTGAGATTGCACCACTGCACTCCAGACTGGGCGACAGAGTGAGACTCCGTCTCAAAAAATAAAAATAAAAATAAATACAGACCTGGAATCAACAGAATGTCTGGGCTAAGATAAGCGGTTGTGGAGACCAAGGTTCTTATTATGCAAGTAAAGCCTCCAGGTAGCAGGCTTCAGAAACAATAGAAGGTAAATGTTTATCAGACTTAAAAAGGTACCAGATTCTTAGTTGATCTCCCCTGGATCAGGAAAAGACCTGGAAAGTGAAAGGGATTCTCTACAGAATGTAGATTTCTCTGACAAGAGACAGCTTTGCAGCACCATTTAAAAATATGTCAAAGGAGTATATTTTGGGATAAAATACTTAGATTTCTTTCAGGGTCTGCTATCTGCTATGTGATGTACCTTACTGCTATACAACAGCAATTTGGTTGGTCTTAAGATCTGTTTTCTTTCTTTTTTTTTTTTTGACAGGGTTTCACTCTGTCACCCAGGCTGGAGTGCAGTGGCATGATATAGGTTCACTGCAACCTCTGTCTCCCAGGCTCAATCCTCCTGCCTCAGCCCCACAAGAAGCTGGGGCTACAGGTGAGCGCCACCATGCCTGGCTAATTTTTATTTTTTTTTTGTAGAGACAGGGTTTTGCCATGTTGCCCAGGCTGGTCTCGAACTCCTAAGCTCAAGTGATCCAGTCACCTTGGCCTTGAAGTGCTAGGATTATAGGTGTGAGCCACTGCACCTGGCCAAGATCTCTGTTTTAATGTTAATGTTGGTCAGTTATGCCTGAATTCCAAAAGGAAGAGGACATAATGAGGCACTGCCAACCTCCACTTCCTATCCTGGCTTGAACTCGTTTTTCAAGTTTACTTTGGAATGCCCTTGGCCAACAAGGGGGTCCATTCAATTGGTTGGAGGGCTTAGAATTTTATTTTTGGTTTACAGCTTCAAAGTGACTTTAGAACTTTCAAATGTTGACAGCAAGAATTTCCTAGTCCCCAAACAATACTCCCCCTACCATGGCCCTCTGGGTCTGGCAATGCAGTTGCAGAACGAGTCAAAGAACAGCCTCCATCTACTGAGGCATAGTGTTCACATAGTCACATCTATGGGACCAGACATAGCTGAGTACTTCACTGCAGAGGTCAATACCATATGGAAACCCCACAGCCTAAGGCCACTGAGGCAGGGAAACAGCACCAAATATGGCCAGTGACTAGTTGTCCCTCAGACATCAGTGTCTAAAGCTCTCAGCTGTTGGCTCATCTGGCTCTAAGGCAACTGCAGGCCCAACGATACTGCTTGTCCCTTTAGGAAGAGTTATTGTGTGCAGTGGTGAGCTTTGTACGCAGGAAAGACTGGGAGGAAGGAAGTAGAGGCCAGTGGAAAGAGCTTCTATAAATAGATCAGCAGCTTACAGATTTAAGGAATAGTCTTCAATGCTCATGGGTGAAGTAAATAAAGCAATCCCAAGAATGCAAATAAACCTAGGTAAATGGAAGAGCCATGGGATGGAGTAGAATATTAAAGCAGTTTGACAACTGAGGACAAAGGCAGTCATACTTCCAGAAGAAAACCAGAGGCCCCATTCTATGGCTCCTCAGAAACAAGAGCCATTAGGCCTCCTAACAAGATGGAACTAGATGCTGTCAGAGGTAAGAAAGGCACACGCATAGGGGCAGAGAACACCTGATGCAGCAGGTGTAGGACAACGTCAAAAGGGTAATACAGTGTGACAGACCACACCTGACAAAAACATCTTATAAGCCCAATAAATACTGACCACATCTGACCACACAGCTGAGTGGCCTCCTGAAATAAAACTCCATGGGTCTGACCTTTTAAGCCACTCTAAGCCCCATGCCTGTAAGGCCCAGGGTGTTCCAGGGAACACAGGATGTAGCAGCCTCATCACTATTGACTCTTTAGGTAAGCACAAGAGTCAAAGGGTAGCAAAAGGTGGAATGGAGGCCCCTCTCATCTCTCAGCATATTGGTCCTTCTCACACACTCCCTCCAAGAGCCCTTCCCTGAGTCATTCGTAGACCACCTGCAGAGGAATGAGAGTTGGCTATTACCTGAAGACTGAGGGCTTCTGGTGTGTATTATACTCTACAGTAAAATGTAACATGCCTCAAAGAATTAGGATCCCGTAAGAGACATAACATAGTAGTTACTAAACCTAAAGTAAGCATTCCCCAAATCTCTTAGAACTCTGGTGTTATCACTATGAACCAAAGTTTAACAGAGTTTACAGTCAGGTAAAAGAGGAAAGCATATGAGAATGGGATGAATACGTAACCTATTTAAAAGCTGCTTTTAGGCTGGTGCGGTGGCTCATGCCTATAATCCCAACACTGTGAGGCCAAGGCAAGCGGAGTTCAAGACCAGCCTGGCCAACATGGTGAAATCCCTTTCCTACTAAAAATACAAAAATTAGCCAGGCATGGTGGCGGGTGCCTGTAATCCCAGCTGCTCGGGAGGCTGAGGCAGGAGACTCCACCAGGAGGCAGAGGCTGCAGTGAGCCAATATCACACCACTGCACTCCAGCCTGGGTGATAGAGCGAGACTCTGTCTCAAAATAAATAAATAAATAAAAGTTGCTTTTAGAAGTAAATTCATGTTGGCCTTTCCCCCTCTCATATGAGATCAAAATGTAGAAATTTGGTGATCTCTGCTTTCCAACTACTTGTATAAACAAATTTATTAATTTGTAGGAAAATGCTCATTTCCTAGGCACCCACTGTGCCAGGTAAAAAGATAAAAACAGGCCAGGCGTGGTGGCTCACAGCTGTAATCTCAGCACTTTGGGAGGCCAAGGCGGGATCACCTGAGGTCAGGAGTTCGAGACCAGCCTGGCCAACATGGTGAAACCCTGTCTCTACTAAAAATTCAAAAATTAGCTGGGCATGGTGGTGCATGCCTGTAATCCCGGCTACTCGGGAGGCTGAGGCAGAGGAATCTCGAACCCAGGAGGTGGAGGATGCAGTGAGCCAAGATCGCACAACTGCACTCCGGCCTGGGCAACAGAGCAGGACTCTGTTTCAAAAAGAAAAGATGAAAACAAAAATAAGCAAAAAAGCACACCTTTAAGAATTTAAACTATTTCCTTAATTTCAGTACTGTAATGTCCTTAGCAATCTGGGCTGAGGTGAAACGTGTGGCTGGTATGAGCTGCCAAGATTGCTTTTTTCTAAACCAGCAGATGTTGTATAGCGTAAGGAAAAAAATATTTTGTAATCAAAATCTGAAACCAAATTTGAATGGAAAAAATTGTAATGGAAGGAGTAATTTCAGTCTACTCTTTTTGCACTTCCTAATAAAAAGGAAAGCTTTAATCAGTCTATAAGAATAAACACTACTAAGGACTTAACCAGAGAAGAATTTTCATATATACCAGACCAGGATTTCTCAACCTCGGCACTACTGACAGTTTAGATCAGTGAATTCCTTGTTCTAGGTGACTGTTCTGTGCATTGTAGATGTTTAGCATCATCTCTGGCCTCTATCCACTAGATGCCAGTGGCATCCCCTACCCAGTTTTGACAATCAAAAATGTCTTCAGACATTGCCAAATGTCCCCTGCAGGACAAAACTGCCCCCAGTTGGGAACTACTGCACTAGACACATAGCAATATTATTTCACATCAGATGTTTGTTTTCATGCCTCCCCCAGCTGCCTCACAAGAGCTGTCTGTCTCTTGTCCACTTTTATTTTGTCTATTCCAGTGTCTCCTGACCCATCTGGCATACAAGACATGATTCTAAATATGTGATATCAGAGATAGCTCCTGGGCAATAGCCCCCAGCAGCATCAACACAGGCAGAGTGTCTCAGTGCTACGGAGAGGGGAATATAAACAGAAATCCAGCATTGTAGTCACAGGCATCTTCATGAATTAAAGTCACAGAGAAAATAATTCCCAAAGACAGCAGGACAAAGAGCCTTTGTTCCTCAGCTGATAAGCCACAAGAAATCTTCCTTGTAGGAGCTGCCTGCAGGCCCATCCTTACCTCACAACTGAAGGTGCTTTCACAGGACAACACCATGTAATCTGAACCGTTAGCATGTAGAGGCAATGGTCAATGAAGAGGAAAACCAGTACTTTGCCAAACAGAGATAAAGCCAAACACTGATGTTTACTTGTTTCTCTAAAGCTGAATTAGTAAATATACTCTGAAAACTACTTGTTGCTACTAAATATATCAGCAAAGAAAAAATGCCGTTTTTTTCATTCTTTAAAAAGCAAACGTTTACTGGGGCTTTGGACTATTTTAAATTTTATTCCATAAGAAGACCATAAAATAAGGATCCAAATAAATAAACCTCTTACTCTTCTATCACACAGAGTTTACCAATATATACTTACCATCTAGTACTTCTTCAGAAAATCCCGTTTTCTCAAAATCACTGGTATTCTGATTGTACAAACCAAATAGAAGATAATTTGCCAGCTCTCTGCAGCCTTCATTGTACCTGCTATCGATTCCTGCAAGGCAAAGGAGGCTCTGATCAGCTGTACCATACTACAGGGAGCAAATGAGCCAATAATTTGCCCCTGCTTAGCAAAACCCTGATGATCAAGCTGAAGGACGCAGCTCAGACCAGTTTTGTGCCAGAAACCAAGCTAACCAATTCTGTGAAAGAAACAGGTCTCAGCATCAAGTACCTTTACTTGAATTCCAACGTCTTGTAATTGAGATAATCAAACAGCACAGATTATGGAGCCTGTTAATTTCTGAAAAGGATTCATCTTGGAATGCTTTCAGTTAGCTTAAGAATAGGGGTCAGAAAAATCTTCACCTTTCAAAGAGATCTTTACCAAAACACTTGGGATCAAACAAAGGCAGATTAAGGTGGCTTGACAAGAACCCAATAATGTGAAGAAGAGGACAAGTGAGTGGAACCACAAACACCCATCACTTTACAATTATGAGGCTCAAGGTCTAGCACTGTACTAGATGCTGGGGTATGGTGGTGAACATGCCTGCAAATGACCCTCATGAAGCTTACAGTCTAGAGGAGCTGAATTAGAGACAAATAAAAAGGAAATTAAACAATACTGTCTTCACTACCATCTCTCAATGCTTTAGGTATATATTTATTACCTAGGTCCTGATGTCTGTGAAGTCTCAGAGTATGGCTCTGGGCAAGAGGGACATGTCATGGCAGGAGGCAGCTATATATGTGAGGCTAAAAGAAGGGCTTAAGGCAGAAGTAGCTCCAAAAATGGGCTTCCTATCTCACTGATAGCTCATCTAACCTCATTAAAACAGCAACAAATTTCGGGGGAACAAGAACTAGGAGGACACCAACTCACAGCTTATTTCACATTGCTACTATTACTAATACCTTCCTGTGAACAAAAAAAGCCAAGTTGCCCAAGCCCTGAGTCCCACCTTGTTAAAAGCACTGACCTAGGATGCAGAGGATCCCATCCGGCCGAGACTTGCTGCTCTGGGTCAGGATGCTCTGAACCTGCCGAAGTCGACTGCAGCTGCAACAAGAACAGAAAATGGTCCCCTGAGTGCCAGGACAGCCCCATGAGAAGAGCAGCATCCTGTGTCCCACAATGGAGTCATGAGGAAGAGGAATGACTTTGCTGGGGATGGAAATTGATTCTTGTCTGGTTCTGGTATCAGAACCATAAAATGGATTGGGAAGGTTCCTTTCTCTTTTATTTTCTGGAAGAGGTTGTGCAGAACTGGTCTGAAGACTAAGTCTGACCTGCTGATTACGAACTCCTCAACAGAGGATGAAGCCAAAGTCCCTCTCTCATGGTCAATGGTGGAAAGGATTAAGACTCAGCAGCTGACTCCAAGAACTTCCAATGACTTTTCATGTTTTGAAGATTTTTCAAATAAGAGTTTCCATACTGATCACCCCACTTGTGGTCCTCATCAGTCTGTCTCAAAAACAAATGCAAACTAAACCCCCAAACTGGCCTGAGAACCTAAACAAAGCTCTAATTCATCCTCACAGCTATCCATATAGGGAGTGTCAGCAGAGAATACTTGCTTCCATTTCTGTGTAGACCTATTATTCCTTCAGCCCTAGGGACAGCCGTTTGCTCAAGCAAAATGTGAGGCACTCTCAGACATTCACATTACTTCTAAGGACCCCATTCTCTCCATGCCCATCCCCTCCTTCCCAGAAGCTCCAGAGAGAGGCGCCCGATTTCCTGCTCAAGACTGATTCTTCCACCTGGTCTCCTCATCATCTCCAGGTCCAGGATCTGCCTCTAATACTCATTCCCTAACACTTTTTTTTTTTTTTTTTTTTGAGATGGAGTCTGGCTCTGTGGCCCAGGCTGAAGTACAGTGATCTTGGCTCACTGCAACCTCTGCCTCCCAGGTTCAAGTGATTCTCCCGCCTCAGCCTCCCGAATAGCTGGGATTACAGGTGTGTGCCACCACGCCCGGCTAATTTTTGTATTTTAGCAGAGATGGAGTTTTGCCATGTTGGCCAGGCTGGTCTCGAACTCCTGACCTCAGGTGATCCGTCCGCCTCATGCCTTACAGGTGTGAGCCACCGCGCCCAGCTTCCTAACACTCTTATATTTAATACTTTCTCTACAGTCAATATAATCCCAGTCCTACTACATCATTATTAACTAAGAGCCTCTACAAACCAACTACACTAATTCTTCCACCTATGAAGCCAGGCATCATCCCCATCCCTTACTGAATCTCCTCCAGTACACTGCCTTACTCTCACCTCAAAACTGTATTTACAGCCAAACTACACTATTTCTCTTCACTAATTCCTGAATTCTTTTGCCCCACTGGATTCTTTTTTTTTTTTTTTGAAATGGACTCTCACTCTGTCGCCCAGGCTGGAGTGCAGTGGCACAATCTTGGCTCACTGTAACCTCCGCCTCCTGGGTCCAAGCGACTCTCATGCCTCAGTCCCCCAAGTAGCTGGGATTACAGATGTACACCACCATGCCTGGCTAATTTTTGTACTTTTTAGTAAGAAGGTTTCACCATGTTGGCCAGGCTGGTCTTGAACTCGACCTCAAGTGATCCACCTGCCTCAGCCTCTCAAAGTGCTGGGATTACAGGCATGCGCCACCACACCAGGCTGCCCTGCTGGATTCTTTTTGACGTTCCTATGCCCCAACTCATTCATTCCATGACTTGGCGCTCTTCATCACTATCTTCCATGAAGAGTTTCATAGTCTTCCATGTGATATCAAAACTAGACAAAGATAGTACCAAAGACTATACTTTCAGGGATCATTTCTGTAGTTCATTATTAGAGAGGTCTCTCTGAATGAGTAGAGCACTAGAAACCACAGAAGGAGGCACAGTGGTCTCTCCTGAGCATAAAGCTGGTTTTTGATGTTGCTTTGCTGCAACTGCCATTCGTCACTGATGACTGTTTTCTTCCTCTGGGAGAGTAAGAGGGAGAGGACACTATCTGAGTGTTTCCTCTTTAATCATCAGTCAAAAACAAAAAGTATCAAAAAGAGAAAGAAACCTACAAACCAAAATCCATCATGAATATAAATGTAAACATCCTGCCTTTTTTTTTTTTTTTTAAAGAGATGGGGTCTCATTAATGTTGCCTAGGCTAGACTCGAACTCCTGGGCTCAAGCAATCCTCCCTCCTCAGCCCTCCTGAGTAGCTGGGATTACAGGCATGCACTACCACACCTGGGAAAATTTTTTTTAATTAAATGTAAACACCCTTAACAAAATACAGTAAGTAAAATTCAGCAACATGTAAAACAACTATACACTAGGACCAAGTGGAATTTATCACAGAGATACTCGAGGCTGGTTCATTATTCATGAATCCATCAATGTAATCCCTCATATTAACAGGCTAAAGAAGAAAAATCACACAACCAAAAAACTGATGCAGAAAAATCACTTAATAAAAGTCAACACCCATTCATAATAAAAACACTCAGAATTGATGGATATCCCAACTACACTAATTTGATCTTTATAAATTATATGAATGTACCCTGAAAATGTGTGTCTCTATTATGCATCAATTAAAAAAACAGAAAAAAAGCCACTCAGAAAACTAGAAATAGTTTCCTCAACTTGATAAAGATCATTTAAAAAACCCACCAAGCAAAGTTTGTAATTACACATAATGGTCAAAGTCTGAATGTTTTTCCTCTAAGGTCAGGAAGAAGATGAGCATGTCTACTCTCATTATTCCTATTTAACATAATACCGGAAGTTCTAGCCAACAGAATAAGGCAATAAAAGGAAGTAAAAGACACATAGACTGAAAAGACAGAAAGAAAACTGTTCCTATTTGCAGATATGTCCTATTTGTAGATGACATGATGGTCTCTGTAGGAAATCTTAAGGATTCTACCAAAATTCCTAGAACTAATAAGTGAGTTCAACAAGGCTTCAAGATACAAGATCAACATATAAAAATCAATTGTAATTTTTTTTTTAGACACAGGGTCTTGCTCTGATGTCCAGGTTGGAGTGCAGTGGTGTGATCATAGCTCACTGCAGTCTCTAACTCCCGGACTCATGGGCTCAAGCGATCCTCCTACCTCAGCCTCCCAAGTAGCTGGATCTACAGACACATGCCACCACACAAGCTAATTTTGAAAAAAAATTTTGGAGAGACAGGGTCTCACTTTGTTGCCTCCCTAGGCTGGTCTTGAATTCCTAGCTTCAAGTGATCCTCCCACCTTGGCCTTCCAAAGTGATGGGACAATTGTAACTTTATAGAAAACCAAAATTTAAAATACAATACCATTTATAATCTCTTAAAAATTAAATACCTAGTTATAAACCTAATAAAACATACACAGCACTTACATGTTAAAAACTACAAAACACTGATTAAAGAAATTAAAGAAGATCTAAATAAATAGTAAGACATACCATGTTCATGGATTAGGAACCTCAACATAGTACTGATATCAATTTTCCCTAATGTGGTAAGTTTAACACATCCCTATGAAAATCCAGTATTTTTTATAGATGTAGAAGAGATTATTCTAAAATTTACATAAGCCAGGAACAGTGATACAGGTCTTAGTCTCAGCTACTAGGAGGCTAAGATGGGAGGATCACTTGAGTTCAGGAGTTCGAGGCCAGCCTGGGCAATATAGTGAGACCTCATCTCTTAAAAATAAAATAAATAAAACTCATAAGGAAAAGCAAAGGAACTACAATAGCTTAAAACTGTTTTGAAAAAGAAAAAGTGGGAGGAATCACTCTACCCAATGTCAAGACTTACTGCATAGCTAAAGTAATCAAGACTGAGTGGTACTGGCTAAGGGACAGACACATAAGTCAATGGAACAGATAGAGTAACCAGAAGCAGACCCACACAAGTACAACTAACTAATTTTTAACAAAGGCACAAAAGCAATTCAATGTTGGATGGATAGTCTTTTCAATAAGTAGGGCTAGAATAACTGGATATCTACGGGCAAAAATGTAAACCTCAACCTTACACATTATATACAAATTAAAGCATAGATCTAAATGGAAAATGTAAAATCATAAAATCTTTGGAAGAAAACAGAAGAAAATATTCTGGACCTAGGATTTGGTGAAGAGTTCTTACACTTGACACCAAAAAGTGTGATCCATAGGGAAAAAAAATGATAATGTGGACTTCATTACAATTTTAGTTTTGCTCTATGAAAGACTCTGTTGAGAGAATGAAAAGACAAGCTACTGACTGGGAGAAAATATCTGCAAACCACATATCTGAAAAAGAACCATATGTGGATACATAAAGAACTCTCAAAACTCAATGGTAAAAAAAAAAAAATCCAATTAGAAAATGGGCAAAAGGTATAAAGAAACAATTTGTCAAAGAGGATACAGAAATGGCAGAGAAGCCCTATGACAACATGTTCGACATCATTATCCATTATGGAAATGCAAATTAAAACCATGAGATATTACTATACCTCTATTAGAATGGATAAAATGAAAAACAGTGACTACCAAACTGAGAATTCAGAGAAACTGGACCACTCATATATTTCTGAAAGAAATTACAGAAGACAGCAATAAATGAAAAGATACCCTCTGTTCATGCATTGGTAGACAATATCGTTAAGCTGTCAATGTTACCCAAAGCAATCTACACATTCAGTGTAATCCCTTCTCAAATCCCAATGATGTTTTTTACAGAAGTAGAAAAATCCATTCTAAAATTTATATGGAATCTCAAGAGACTCTGAATATCCAAAACAATCTTGATAAAGATTAAAGCTGTAGAACTCACACTCCTGATTTTAAAACTTATTACAAAGCTACAGTCATCAACAGTGGGATACTGGCATAAGACAGATATACAGACCAATGAAACAGAATAAAGAGACCAGAAACAAACCCTCACATACCTGGTCAAATGATTTTGACAAGGATGTCAAGACCACTCAATAAGAATAGTCTTTCAAACAAGTGGTGCTGGGAAAACTAGATATCTAAAGAATGAAGTTGGACCTCACCGTACACCATATAAAGAAATTAACTCAAAATGTATCAAAGACCTAAACATAAACATAAAACTATAAAACTTTTATAACAAAACACAAAGGAAAATCTTTGTGACATTCGATTTGGCAATGAATTCTTGAAAATGTCACCAAAAGCCCAGACAACAAATAAAAAAATATATAAACTGGACATTTAAAATTTAGAACTTCTGTGCATCAAATGACACAAGCAACAGAGTAAAAAGACAACCCATCTATATAACTCAACAACCATCACCAAAAATTCCTATTCGAAAATGGGCAATGAAGCCAGGCAGGTGGTTCATGCCTGTAATCTCAGCACTTTGAGAGGCCAAGGTGGGGGATCTCTTGAGCCCATGAGTTTGAGACCAGCCAGGGCAACACAGGGAGACCCTGTCTCTACAAAAAGTAAAAAAAAAAAAAAAAAAAAAAAAAAAAAAAATTAGCCGGATGTGGTAGCATGTGCCTGCGGTCCCACCTACTCATGAGGCTAAGGTAAGAGGATCATCTGAGCCCAAGAGGTTGAGGCTGCAGTGTGAGATGTGTTCACGCCACTGCACTCTGGTCTGGGCAACAGAGCAAGACTCTGTCTCAAAAAAAAAAAAAAAGAAAAGAAAAGGGCAAAGAACATTTCTCTGAAGAGGATATGCAAATGGCCAAGCACATGAAAAGAAACTCAACACCTCTAATCATTAGAGAAATGCAAATCATAACCATAATTAAATATTACTTAATATCCATTAGTATGGCTACTATCAAAAAACTAGAAAATAACAAGTGCCATCAAGGATTTGGAGAAATTAGAACCCTTGTGCACTACTGGTGGGAATGTAAAATGGTGCAACCACTATGGAAAACAGTATGGCAGTTTCTTAAAAAATTAAAAATAGAATTACCACATGATCTAGAAATTCCAGTTCTGGGTATAAATTCCAAAGAACTGAAAGCAGGGACTGAAAAAGATACCTAGAAATTCCAGTTCTAGGTATAAATTCCAAAGAATTGAAAGCAGGGACTGAAAGAGATACCTGTATACCCATCTTCATAGAAGCACTATTTGCAACAGCCAAAAGGTGGAAGCAACCCAAAGTGATAAACAAAATGTGATACATACACACAATGGAATATTATTTAGCCTTAAAAAGGAAATTCTGACACATGCTACAATATGGATTAACCTTGAGAACATTATGGTAAGTGAAATCCAGCCATAAAAGTACAAATTCTGTATGATTCTACTTTTTTATGAGGTACCCAGAATAGTCAACTTCACAGAGACAGAAGGTAGATAGAATGGTGGTTGCCAGGTGCTGGATGGGAGAGGGAATGGGGAGTTATTGTTTAATAGGTACAGCTTCAGTTTTGCAAGATGAAAGGTTGTGTGGATGGATGGTGGTGATTTTAGTTTAACAATGTGAATGTCCTTAGTGCCACAGAATTGTACACTTAGAAGTAGTTAAAATGGTAAATTTTATGGCATGTGTATTTTTCTTGTTTTGTTTTGTTTTTCTGAGACAGAGTTTCGTTCTTGTTGCCTAGGCTGGAGTGCAATGGTGCAGTCCCAGCTCACTGCAGCCTCTGCCTCCTGGGCTCAAGTGATTCTCCTGCCACAGCTTCCCAAGTAGCTGGGATTACAGGCGCCCGCCACCCAACCCAGCTAATTTTTTCATATTTTTAGTAGAGATGAGGTTTCACAGGTCTCACTCTGTTGCTCAAGCTGGAGTGCAGTTGCTTGATCACGACTCACTGCAGCCTCAACTTCCTGGGCTCAGGTGATTCTCCCACCTCAGCCTCTTGAGTAGCTGGGGCTACAGGTGCATACCACCACACCCAGCTAATTTTTCTATTTTTTTTTTTTGTAGAGATGGGTCTCACCATGTTGCCCAGGCTGGTCTCAAACTCCTGGGCTCAAGCAATCTGCCCACCTTAACCTCCCAAAGTGCTGGATTACAGGTGTGAGTCACTGCACCTGGCCAATTTTAAAAATTTTTTTAGAAGTTAAAAATAGTCAGCTGGGCATTGTGGCTCATGCCTGTAATTCCAACACTTTGGGAGGCTGAGGTGGGAGGATCAACTGAGGTCAGGAGTTTGAGACCAACATGTGCAACATAGCAAGACCCTGTCTCTACCAAAAAAAAAAGAGAAATAGTTTTTAAAAAGTCAGCATTATATAAAACAAAAACAACAGAGAGGGAAAATTCTTACAGTGTAAAAGGGATTAAAGAATAACAACAAAATGCAATCTATGAACTTTAAATTTTTTTTAGAAAAGAAAAACAGGCCAGGCATGGTGGCTCATGCCTGTAATCCCAACACTTTGGGAGGCCAAGGCGGGAGGATTGCCTGAGGTCAGGAGTTCGTAACCAGCCTGGCCAACGTGGCAAAACCCTGTCTCTACTGAAAATACAAAAATTAGCCTGGCGTGATGGCGTGCGCCTGTAATCCCAGCTACCCAGGAGGGTGAGGCAGGAGAATCACTGGAACCTGGAAGGCAGAGGCTGCAGTGAGCCAAGATCACGCCACTGTACTCCAGCCTGGGCAACAGAGCAAGACTCCATCTCAAAAAAAAAAAAAAAAGAAAAATGGAAACATCTGTGAGACATCTGAGAAAACTTGAATATGGACTATGTATTTGATACCATTAGGGATCTACTGTTAATTTTCTTAGGTATGGCAATGTTATCATGGTTATGTAGTAGGATGTCCTTTATTTTAGATGCATAAGGAAATATTTAGAAGTGAAATGTCACAATGTCTGCAGCTTACTTCAAAAAGGTTTGACATAAAAGAAGACAGATTGAGAAGAAGAAAAAAGATAAACCACATACGGCAAAATGTTAAAAACTGTGGAATCTATCTGGTGGGTATAGCAAATATTCATTGTACTATTCTCTCACTTTTTTTTTTTTTTTTTGAAGTCTCATTCTGTTATCCAGGCTGGAGTGCGGTGGCACGATCTTGGCTCACTGCAACCTCTACCTCCTGCGTTCAAGTGATTTTCCTGCCTCAGCCTCCCTGTAGCTGGGATTACAGGCGTGTGCCACCATGCCCAGCTAATTTTTGCATTTTTAGTAGAGACAGGGTTTCACCATGTTGGCCAGGCTGTTCTCGAACTCCTGACCTCAGGTGATTTGCCCGCCTTGGCCTCCCAAAGTGCTGGGATTACAAGTGTGAGGTGCCACGCCTGGCCTCTCACATTTTATGTATGGTTTGAACATTTTCATAATAAAAATACGGGGGTGAGAGGAAAGAAAGTCTTAGAAGCAGCAAGGCTGAAACAGCAAGACGATCAAGATTAAAGTCAGAAAAACTTTTTCTGGGCAATGAAGATTGCCTGCCTCTCCCCACTTTTTCATGTTTAATAGAAGGCTGATCTTGCAATCATTCTCTGCACTAGAAATAGTTCATTGAGTTGGTCCTGTGGCCCACTTCCCAACCCATCAGACAGTAGGCTGCTTTACTGCCAAGGTTACCCAGAGCTCTTTGGTTTTCAAAGTTACAACCAGCAAGTGACAAAAGCATGAAAAGGTCAGGTGACCAAGAAAAAAACAGCTCCCCAACTACTGCTGTACAAAGCCAAGACAATACTGAAAAGTTTCCTTTCCACAACTATGTTATCCAAAGAAAGTGCAAGCATATAAAATGTAGAAAGACCTTCTTCCCAGAGATAAACACTGTCCTAATTAGTGTTTCTTATTTTATTATCAAATGGTGAAACTAAATTCAATTCTTCCTTTCCTTTGTGTATTTTCTGCTTCCCAAATTTAATTATTAACCAGAAGATAGTTTTTTATTCATCAATGAACCATGAAACGTGTCACTTAATTATTTACCTTTTAATTAAAAAAAAGAAAACCTAGTAAGTATTAAAAAACCCACAATGACCCACACTCCCAGCAGCCGGAATTAACCACTGTTAATATTTTGGCATATTTGCTTTTTTCTACATTACTGCTTTTTAAAATTATGTATGTTGAATATTTACTGTCTATTTTGAGGGAAAAAAAGGAATATTACATAAAAACCTAAAGTCATCATTGATCCTCACCCCCCAGAGGTCACCACTATGAGTTTGTTGTGTATCCAGCCAGTCTTTTTTCCTTCTTTTTTTTTTTTTTTTTTTGAGACAGAGTTTCACTCGTGTTGCCCAGGCTGGAGTGCAACAGCGCGATCTTGGCTCACTGCAACCTCTGCCTCCCGGGTTCAAGCGTTTCTCCTGCCTCAGGCTCCTGAGTAGCTAGGATTACAGGCATGCGCAACCACGCCTGGCTAATTTTGTATTTTTAGTAGAGACAGGTTTCTCCATGTTGGCCAGGCTGGTCTCAAACTCCTGACCTCAGGTGATCCACCTGTCTTGGCCTCCCAAAGTGCTGGGATTACAGGCGTGAGCCACCACGCCTGGCTGTCTTTTTTCCTTTTAATAAAAATATTCAAAGGGCGGGCACAGTGGCTCATGTCTGTAATCCCAACACTCTGGGAGGCCAGGCATTCAACACTAGCCTTAGCAACACAGCAAGACCTCATCTCTACAAAAACTAAAAATAAAAAAATTAGCCAGGCATGATGGTGTGCATCAGAAGTCCCAACTACTTAGGAGGTTGAGGTGGGGGGATCACTTGAGCCCAGGAGTTCCAGGCTGCATTGATTGCACCACTGCACTCAAGCCTGGGTGACAGAGTGAGACTCTTATCTACAAAAAGAAAAAGAAATAAATTTTTTCAAACATATACCATACCCAGCAATGACACTGCCCTCTAACCCCCAGGTCTACCTGAGCATGTGGTCACCAATGACTTTGTAAGTTCTACCTTTAGAAGACGCATAGACTCAGCAGACCCAATAATGCAGCTTACGTCAAAGATGCTGCTTTCATATTATAACTTATTTCTTATTTTCCTTGGATTCAGACTCAGAATTTAGACATGATAGATGACTGATAGATGACAAAGAAGAAGAAACCAAGAGCTAAATAGATGTAGTTTGCCCAAGATCACAAAGCTAAGTAAAGATTAACATCATCAGAACCTAAGTGAGCAGGTACCCTGACTCTGAACTTTTTCTTTCTGCTGAACCCCACTGTTTTCCTGACAATAAAGCCAGTCGTGGGTACAATATATGTGAATTCTAAACAATCATCTCTGTTCTTCCCATCTTATATGTAAATAGTTAACTCACTGCTCACTGCTTTTATAACAACTGTGCATGAACAGCCAGGTATGTTTTCTTGTTTGTTTATATTTCATTATCTTGCTTCCCTGGAAATGAAGAAAAAAATTGGAAATTTTATTTTTACCCAGTTTTTCTCCATGATTTATGCTTTCTTTATCTTGAAAATTAAACAATTAAAATACTAATATATTCTTCTTATATCCTGTACACTTTGTGTCTTGAATGTTTTACAAAGTGAATCCTCATATACCAATCTGATTCATCTCATCATAGAAAACTGACGTGAACAATTTGGTATGCAACTCTCAGTAATACATAGTTTTGGTGTTTTTCTGTTGGGGAAGTATTTGTTTTTACATAAGCAAAACAATAAAATATGTCACTGCTCTGCAACATGCTTTTTTTCACTTAACATTATACCTCAGAGATCTTTCCAGCTTAGTACATAGAACCAAATCTCATTTTTAAAACTGCTGGTCAGGTGCAGTGGCTCATACCTGATCACTAATGATGTTGAATACCTTTTATTTATTTATTTATTTATTTATTTTTGAGACAGTGTCTCGCTCTGTTGCCCAGGCTAGAGTAAAGTGGCACAGTCTTAGCTCACTGCAACCTCCGCCTCCTGGGTTCAAGTGATTCTCCTGCCTCTTGAGTTCAGGAGTTCGAGACCAGCCTGGGCAACATGGCAAAACCCTATCTCTACAAAAAATTAGTTAGGCGTGGTGGTTACAGGGGCATGCCTATGGTCCCAGCTACTCAGGAGGCTGAGGTGTGGAGACTGCTTGAGCCCAGGAGGTTGAGGCTGCAATGAGCCGAGATTGAGCCACTGCACTCCAGCCTGGGCAACAGAATGACATCTTGTGTCAAACAAAACAAAACAAAAATAAAAAATAAATCAAATAAAACTGTTGTACTGTATTATTTTGTTTTTATTTAACCAGCTGCTATGATGGAACATTCAGGATTTTTACTATTTATGTTTGCTATTGCAAACAATGCTACGGTGAGCAACCTTTTATGTCCATCTTTGGCACAAACACAAAAGTTTCTACAAGGAAGAGATCTAAAAGTAGCACTGCCAGGTTAAGAGGTGCCTGCATTTTAAATTTTGATAGGTGTTGCCAAATTGTTCTTTTAAACCGTTTACCTATAATATGCCAGAGTACCTGTTTCCCACAAGTTTCTAAATTATGTGTTACCACTCTTCAACTAATGCTAAATGAGTGGCTAGAATTCTGAGTTACAACTCACACTTCCCTAATTACAAGGGAAGTTGTCAAATGTTTATTGATTATCTACATTTCTTTTTCTATGAGTGCATACTCATATTCTTTACCTACTTTCTAGTCAGTCATTTGAGTTTTTTCAGAATAATTTACATATTTCATCATATTTTAAAAGTTGTATTGGGCCGGGTGCAGTGGCTCCCGCCTGTAAACCCAGAACTTTGGAAGGCTGAGGCAGGTGGATCATCTGAGACCAGACGTTCGAGACCAGCCTGGCCAACATGGTGAAACCCTGTCTCTACTAAAAATACAAAAATTTGCTGGGCATGGTGGTGTGTGCCTATAATCACAGCTACTCGGGAGGCTGAGGCAGGAGAATCACTTGAACCCAGGAGGCGGAGGTTGCGGTGAGCTGAGATCATGCCATTGCACTCCCGGCCTGGAGACAAGAGTGAAACTCCGTCTCAAAAAAAAAAAAAAAAAGTTGTATTTTGGCCATGTGTTGCAAATATTTTCTCCAATTCTCTAGATTTTGTTTATAGTCTCTTTTTCATGCCGAAGTTTAAAAATGTTATGTAATTAAATCTGTGTATCTTCACCTTTAAGCTTAAGGGTTTTATGTCTTCCTCTTGTGCCTTCCCCAGTCAGTATTATAAACAAAATAATAAATGTCAAATTTCATTCTAATTATATATGTTGGTTTATAAAAAACATTTAGTTCTTTATTCCACTGGAATTTTTTTACTTTCGTGAAGCAGGAACCCAACTGCATTTTGTTCCCCCAAACAGGAATGACTATTCCAAGATCATATATTATTTTAATCCTCTGATCTGGAATGACACTTTCAGAATTTGCTAAACTGTCGTATATAGTTGGATCTATTGTTTGGATCTCTATCTGAGGCATTTACCTATTCTCACAGGAATACTGCGCTTAAAAAAATAATCAGAGCTTTAAGGTATGCTAGCTAGCACTTGAACTTGCTAGTATACAGATTACTTTTATAGCTGATGAGGCAAGTCCTTCTATCATTGTTTCAAAGATTCCATGGCTTTTACTGAACATTTTCTTTTTTCTTTTTTTTTTTTTTTTTTTTTTTTTTTTTTTTTTTTGAGACGGAGTTTCGCTCTGTCGCCCAGGCTGGAGTGCAGTGGCGCGATCTCGACTCACTGCAAGCTCCGCCTCCCGGGTTCACGCCATTCTCCTGCCTCAGCCTCCCATGTAGCTGGGACTACAGGCGTGCGCCACCATGCCCGGCTAATTTTTTTTTTGTATTTTTAGTAGAGACGGGGTTTCACCGTGTTAGCCAGGATGGTCTCGATCTCCTGACCTCGTGATCCGCCCGTCTCGGCCTCCCAAAGTGCTGGGATTACAGGCGTGAGCCACCGCGCCTGGCCGAACATTTTCTTTTTTCTTTTTTTTTTTCTGAGACAGCCTTGATCTGTTGCCCAGGCTGGAATGCAGTGGTGCAATCTCAGCTCACTGCAACCTCCACCACCCAGGTTCAAGCAATTCTCATGCCTCAGCTTCCCGAGTAGCTGTGATTACAGATGTGCGCCACTATGCCCAGCTGATTTTTGTATTTTTAGTAAAGACAGGGTTACACCATGTTGGCCAGCCTGCTTTTGAACTCCTGGCCTCAAGCAATCCACCGCCTTGGCCTCCTAAAGTGCTGGGGTTACAGGTGTGAGCCACCACACCTGGCCTGAACATTTTGTCTTTCAGAGGAAGTGTAAAATCAGCTTGTCAAGTTCCATAAACTCTTCTGCTGGGAATTTGTATTATAATCATACTGCATCTGGACAGTACTGAGCTCCCTACTCAGGAACATGATTATGTCTCTCCTTTCCTTCCTCTCATTTTATATACCCTTGTGTCAAGTTTTATATTTTTATTTATAAAATAATCTTTAACATTCTTATTAGGTTGATTCCTAGGTATTTTGCAGTTTTTGTTTCTATTTTGAATGTCATGAGGAATCTGATACGGTTTGCCTGTGTCCCCACCCAAATCTCATCTTGAATTGTAACTCCCATAATTCCCATGGGTCATGGGAGGAACCTGGTAGGAGGTAATTGAATCATGGGGATGGGTCTTTCCCTGTGCTGTTCCCATGACAGCGAATAAGTCCCATGAGATCTGATGGTTTTAAAAATGGCAGTTTCCCTGCACAAGCTCTCTTCTCTTGTCTGCTGCCATGTGAGATGTGCCTTTCACCTTCCACCATGATTGTGAGGCTTCCCCAGCCACGTGGAACTGTGAGTCCAATAAACCTCTTTCTTTTGTAAATTGCCCAGTCTCAGGTTATGTGTTTATCAACAGCATGAAAACAGACTAATACAGAGTCCGTTACATTTTTTCAAAGAACTTGCTAAACTCTAATTAGTTCTAACAGTTTTGTCTATTGTCTTAAGTTTTCCAGTTAGTAAATCAAAGCAGTTTTCTCTCTTCCTTTTTTTATTTACAATTTATTTACAGTTTTTATTTCAACTCATTAATTCATCAACTTTTTATTGAGCACCTACTGTGTGCCAACTGTTCAGAGCACTGGGGATTTAGCAATAAATGAAAGGACAAAAAATCCTCGGAACAAAACCAGAACTTAATTTTAAGGGAGGGAGGCGTGAGAGAGGAGAGATAAACTAAATAAGTAAGTAAAATACACTTGTCATATGGTGGTAAGTGGGAGGTTGTGAGTCCTAAGAGGAGGGTAGAGTGCAGTTTAAAAGCAAGATCAGGAAAGGCTTCATCAAGAATACCTTTGCATAAAGACCTAAAGGAAGTGAGAGCACAAGCTATGCAGCAAGGGCAAAGGCCCTGAAGGGAGTGTCACTGAGCCGGTATGGCTGGAGCAGAGTAGGTGAGGAAGAGAGTTGCAGGAGATGAAGAGGAAAAAAAAAACTATGTGTGTAGGGGGGAAGATTAGTTAAGGTCTAGTACTTGATTATTTCAGCTTTTACTTGTAGTGCTTAGAGTGCTTCAAAAAGAGGTATGACATACATTTTAATAATATCACTCTATTTGCTGTGTTGAAAACAGACTGAAGGGCGATAAAAGTTGAACCTGAGAGACCGATTAAGACTCTACTGCTGGACAGGCATGGTGGCTTATGCCTGTAATCCCAGCACTGGGGGAGGTCAAGGCAGGCAGACTGCTTGAGCCCAGGAGTTTGAGACCAGCCTGGGCAACATGGCAAAATCCCGTCTCTACAAAAAACACAAAAATTAGCCAGGTGTGGTGGCACACATCTGTAGTCCCAGCTACTCAGGAGGCTGAGTTGAGAGGATTGCTTGAGCCTGGGAGGCAGAGGTTGCTGTCAGTGGAGATCACACCACTGCACTCCAGCCTGGGTGACAAGAGTGAGACCCCGTATCAAAAAAAAAAAAAAAGAGTCTACTGTAATAATCCAGTCAATGGATAGATGATTATTTCTTTTTTTGTTTTGTTTTGTTTTTTGTTTTTTGAGACGGAGTCTCGCTCAGTCACCCAGGCTGGAGTGCAGTGGCATGATCTTGGCTCACTGCAGGCTCCGCCTCCTGGGTTCACACCATTCTCCTGCCTCAGCCTCCCGAGTAGCTGGGATTACACGCACCTGCCACTAAGCCCAGCTAATTTTTTGTATTTTTAGTAGAGATAGGGTTTCACCATGTTAGCCAGGATGGTCTTGATCTCCTGACCTCGTGATCTGCCCGTCTCAGCCTCCCAAAGTGCTGGGATTACAGGCGTGAGCCACCACGCCCAGCCTTATGATTATTGCTTTTGCTTATCTTATTAAATTAGCTGGAACCTTATTATATTAGTGGTTTAAATCAGGAATGAGTGTTAAATTTTAAGCAGATTTTTTTTGGGGGGGGGGAACATCTACCAGTCTATTAACTTCATTAATAGATTTCCTAATAATGAACAATTCTTGCATTTATTGGACAAAGCCTACATGTGCATGAAGTAGTACTGTTGTTTTACCATGCTTCTAGATTCAATATACTATTGTTTTACTTAACGATTTTTGCATTTGTAGCTCTCCTTTGTGCTTTCCTAATCAAGTACCAGGATTATGCCAGCCTCAGAGAATGAGTGGGAAAGCAGTTTCTGAGGACTATACTCCTCTCAGCACACTTTCCATTTCTACCTCCCCTGGTAACACATCCTGTGACCCTCCCAAGCCAGTGTCCCATCATGATTTATCCAGGTGCAAGTCAGGTCAACTGGAGTCCTTTCCAGGGCTATCTCACTCTAAAGCTAGAAGAGAAATGGCCTCCAGGATCACCATGCAGGAAGAATGTGGTTTGGGGCTACAGTAACCATCTTCCCTGCCTTGGGGAAGATATATTCGTAGGAGAATGCGCAACCAGGTAGTGAGAAGCAGACGAGAGACAGCATAGACAGAGTTAACTGTTCTGATAGCAGAGTCTTGGCTCCAGTCCCTAAGGCACTAGTTCCAGCAACTCTTCCTATAAGTCTATCTCCCCAATATCCTTTCCAGCCAAATAAGCCAATACATTCCATTTTTTTACTTAAATCCTTTGAGTTGGATTACTGTCACTTGCAATGGAAAGCATTCTTAATATAAAATCAATTCCAGGAAGTGTTTAGGGTTGAACCACACTGGTGTCTACAAGTTATTTTGAAAAGCATTAAAAAAAAAATTGGATGGATAGAGAAAAGGATCTGCCTTATATGAGAAGGCAAATACAACAAATACATTAAGTATAGAATCTAGGTATGGTATATACAAATGTTCACTGAACAATTCTTGAAACTTTTCTGTACTTGTGAAATGTTTCACAATAAAATGTTGGTGGGGTTTGGGAATCAACAGCAGAAGTAATAAAAGCTATATTGGCATTAATCTAGACTTTCGGTGCTGATTAAAAAGAGCTCATTGCAGGACTGCTATGGGTTTAAGAAACCTGGCCCTGCATTAAAGCAGCAATCATTTACCTCCCTTTGCAAAACTAGACATGGGGAGAAAAGGCAAAAAGCCAGGATGTGCAGTAAGGCAATAAATGACACTTCCCACTGATGTCTTTGCTGGAGGAATAACCTGCAATGGAAAAAAGCTAGCCAATGTTCCTGCTGTCATAGCTAATACATGGCTGACCAATGACCATAAGGTGACTCAAACTGAAGGGACAAACACACACATATGATATGCCTTGATATGCCTGAAGAATGTGCTGGCATCACTGAATTATTCAATGATTTAAATTTTCTCCCAGTACTTTCATGTAGCTCACCAGAGCCATTAGTAATCCTAAGCAATGTAAACTTCATTCCACACAGCTACCTCCCTGGTAAAAATAAACAGTTGACTAATCCATATCCATTCTCTTTTTCTTATTTATTTTTTATTTTATTTTTTTGAGATGGAGTCTCACTCTGTCACCCAGGCTGGAGTACAATGGTGCGATCTCGGCTCACTGCAACCAAGGTTCAAGCAATTCTCCTGCCTCAGCCTCCGGAGTAGCTGGAGTTACAGGCACCTGCCACCATGCCTGGCTAATTTCTGTATTTTTAGTAGAGACAGGGTTTCATCATGCTCGCCAGGCTGGTCTTGAACCACTGACCTTGCGATCCGCCCGCCTCGGCCTCCCAAAGTGCTGGGATTACAGGCATGAGCCACTGCGCCCGGCCTCCTTTTCTTTCTTAGTAGAGTACCACAACTTTATTTGTGGCAGCAATAGGTCCAGGTCCTTTGCCTCCAGAGTTGATCAATGAGACATACACAGAAGTCATCAAGCAGAAGCTTCCAAGACAGCTCTCTAAAGAGAACTGACTCAACAAGGAAACCCCTT